>NC_000012.12:40490431-40641946 GCF_000001405.40 Homo sapiens
GGAGTGAAAGGGACAACTGGACAGTCAGCTGAAGTGACAGGGGCAACTGGACAATCTGTTGGAGTGACAGGGACAACTAGATCATCAGGTGGAGTGACAGGGATAACTGGACTATCAGCAGGATTGAGAGGGACAACTGTTTCATCTGCAAAAGCAGGGACAAGTATACCATTAACTGGAAAAACAGGAACAACTAGAACATCAGTTGAAGAATCAACGACAACTGGACCATCAGCTGGAATAACAGGTACAAATGGACTATCAGCTGAAATGACAGGGACAAATGAACTATCAGCTGGGGTGACAGGGACAATTGGATCATCAGCTGGAGTGACAGGGACAACTGGACTGTCAGTTGAAGCAACAGTGACAACTGGACTATCAGCTGGAGTGACAGGGACAACTGTCCCATTAGCTGGGGTAACATGGACACCTGGACCATCTGCTGGAGTGACAGGAATAGCTGCACTATCAGCTGGAGTGACAGGGAAAAGTGGACTATCAGCTGGAGTGACAGGGAAAACAGGACTATCAGCTGGAGTGACAGGGACAACTGGACCGTCAGCTGAAGCAACAGGGAAAACTGGACTATCAGCTGGAGTGACAGGGATCACTGGACCATTTGCTGAAGTGACAGGGACAACTGGATTATCAGCTGGGGTGATAGGGACCACTGGATCATCAGCTGAAGTGACAGGAATAACTGGACTATCAGCTGGGGTGACAGGGAAGACTAGATCATCAGCTGGAGTAACAGGGACAACTGGATTATCTGCAAAATCTGGGACAAGTATACCATCAGCTGGAAAAACAGGAACAACCAAAACATCAGTTGAAGAATCAAGGACAACTAGACCATCAGCTGGAATAACAGGTACAAATGGACTACCAGCTCGAGTGACAGGGACAACTGAACCATCAGTTTGCACAACCACTGTAATAGGAAGAACTACAGGAGAGCCAGGAAGTAAGGTTACAGCCCCTGAAGGCAAATCTAGTTAGCTAAAGATGGGTCATTTAATGTGAATAACGTAATTTTTGGTGTTCCAGACTTGAATCTGTGTAAATTTATCACAATTAAATATGTTATTAAGAACTCAAATTGGTGAACAATGATGGGGGCTTTCCAGAATATTATAGATTCCTTAGACTTTTTGAGTTTATGTTTTCATGAGGACTACTGTAGGTGTTGGCAAGGGATGCACAGCTGGAGGACCAGACTCGGGCCACTACAGTTGGGAACCCAGCAGGCACAGCTCACCTGGGTACTGTGGTGTGGTCCAACATAAGCGTGGCTGAGACGTCCAATTATGATCGTAAGACGAATCAATTATGATTTAACCAAGGACCTAAATAGTGGAGAAATGATTAAGAGATGACCTAGATTTATCAATGTCTAAATTTGAATTTTACATAAGGGGCAGTAAGTTCATTATATTTACTAAGATGAACCATGTAAAGCTGATAATCAATTAGTGCTTTAACCAGGCAAAACTGAAGAACCACATGGAACTACCCCTGGAGCAGGTGAAAGCAGGACCAGATTAACCACACCTGGAAAATCAGGCAAGTGGGGTTGGAAGAATTTGGTCCCAACTGTAGCTCAACATAAGGTTTTCTTTTTTTTTTTTTTTTTTTTCTTTTTCTTTTTTTTAAAGACAGAGTCTCACTCTCACCCAGGCTGGAGTGCAGTGACAAGATCTCAGCTCACTGCAACCTCCGCCTCCCAGGTTCAAGCAATTCTCATGCCTCAGCCTCCCAAAGTAGTTGGGATTACAGGCACGCACCACCATGCCTGGCTATTTTTTATTTTTATTTTTATTTTATTTTTAGTAGAGACAGAGTTTCACCATGTTGGCCAAACTGGTCTCGAACTCCTGACCTCAAATGATCTGCCTGCCTTTGCCTCCCAAACTGAACATAAGGTTTTCTGATCAATGTAATTATCGTAATGAGTATATTGTAAATAAGGAAATCAGAAAGTCAGATCCAAATCATCTATTAGGTTCGTGCAAAAGTAATGGCAAAAACCGTAATTACTTTTGCACCAACCTAATAGTATTTAGGACCTTATATTTTATTAGGTGTTTTAGGACTAGGATGGAAGGAAAACAAATTGTCTTTACAGTGCTGATTTTATCAGGAAATAAACCTTAAATGAAGAAGCTTAAAGCAAGAAAATAATTGAGCACTTTTTGGTCAGCCAGGAACTGTTATAAGTTATGTAAACATGTCACTAATTTTCACAGCAACTGCTGAGATAAATGCTATTTTTATTCACATTTTCAAATGAGAAAGTCAAGGAGAAGTTTAGTTAGCTGCTGCAAGTGATAGTGTACACCAGAGAGGTCTGTCCTCAGAGCCTATTTCTTACCTTCTACACCATCCTCCCTCCTATGGCAGTGGGTATAAACTAGAGCAGAAAGGAAATATATTCCCTGGAGGGAATATCTCAATGGAGTCTCAGATATGCCAAATGCAACCTCTCAAAGAAAATCAGATTGATGAAAAGTCTACTATACCCGAAGTATTTGGACATTTTCTATTATAACAGCAGTGTCTCATGTTTTACTATTTAATTAAATTTTAATTATTTTTATTGCCATCTGTGTGTCAGACACTGTGATAAGTGTGTGGGCACAGAAGTGAATGAGTCTGACAGGGCCACTACTCTCAGGGCATCCTGTCTAGTGGGGGATTTAGCCAGTAAGAGAGAAGTACCTCAATAGTATTACAATTAATGTTAAGTGCTAAGAATAAGGTGAGGGTGCCAGGACAGTGACCTTCCACCTGGTGTCCCAAAGAATGAAGAGGCAGTTGTCAGATAAAGAGGATAAGACAGGGAGGGAAATGCTAAGAGAGCTCCATGGGGAAGGAAGTCAAAGGATCTTAGAAAGTTTAAGGTAGAAAGAGGCCAGGGTTCCCAGTGCTCTGTTAGGAAGCCAGAGGGTGTACAAAATAAGCCCAGAGAAGTCAGAAGGACCCTGTTCACACACAACAGAGCCTTGCCGCACAAGTTAAGGATTTTAGACTTGTTGCTAAGAGCTACGGGAAGTTACCAGAAGGTGAGAGACAGAAGAGTGACATGATCAGCTTCCCATTTTTAAAAGATCAGTAAGACTGCAAATGTGAAGAATTGTATAAAGTGAAAATGGAAGCAGAGAGATTTGCTAGGAAGCTATTGCTCAATCAAGGTAAGAGGCAATGGTTTAGGATAAATTATGGTGGTGGATGGAAAAAAGGGAAAAATTCAAAACCTATTTTTGGAGAACCATCAAGGGAATTTGGCGGTGGTTTGATGGGGATTTCGTTAAGGGTACTTTTCAAGTTAATATTTAGTTACTAGGATGATGGTTCTATCAGTTATTAAAATAGGGAATGTGAAGGAGCAGCAGTTTGCGGTGGGAAGATCACAGCTTCATGTTTGAAAGTTGAATTTGAGATGTCAGGGAGAAGTACAAATGAAAATTTCGAATTATGCTATTAAGATTCTTTTTCATTTGTTTTAAATTCAGCTACAACTGGAGTGCCTGCTGCAACTTCCCCAGGAGCTGAAGGTGAAAGCATAGCTTCCACGTCAGGTACTGGAACCACAACTGGGTTCAAAGTAGTTATGTTGATAAATATCTGGATAGTGCTCCAATAAAATAAGAACACTGCTCCTGACTTTACACTTTTTAATCTCAGTTGCCACGGGAGCCATCCCTCGGTCAACAATTGCACCAGGAAGTACCACTACTGGTAAGTAAGCAGGGGGATGTCAGATGTATTTTTGATTTGTTTTCATGCTCATTGCTTAATTTAAAACAGTGAAGTCATTAATAATAATAATGCCAGTTAATTACAATGTCTTTAAATATATTATCTCATAAATTACTTGAATGAACATTATTATCTCTTTTTGCTCATTAGGAACTTAGACGAAGATATTATCTAAGTTGATATGTTCCTGCAGCAAGCCAAATGGTGAAATCAATATTTTTCTCGATTGTTTATTGATTCCAAAACTGTGCTCTTCAGTGTGACGCCTTCCTTTGCTAAAGCAAAATATACGATGTCTTTAGTAACCCATCAATAGGCCAGGCGCGGTGGCTTATGCCTGTAATCCCAGCACTTTGGGAGGCCGAGACAGGTGGATCCCGTGGTCAACAGATTAAGACCATCCTGGCCAACATGGTGAAACCCCGTCTCTACTAAAAATATAAAAATCAGCAGGGCGTGGTGGCGTGCACCTGTAGTCCCAGCTACTCAGGAGGCTGAGGCAGGAGAATCGCTTGAACCTGGGAGGCGGAGATTGCAGTGAGCCGAGATCAGGTCACTGCACTCCAGCCTGGGCGACGGAGCGAGACTCCGTCTCAAAACAAACAAACAAAAAACACCAATAAAGCTCGCTTTTAAAATCACAAAGCTTAAATGTTTCCCATTTCTAACTAAAAGAATTGGAGCAGCAGGTTAAGAAAAATAAGATTTTTATTGTAATAAACTGTGGCACTTCCTATTCTGAAATAAGATTTGGAGAATTTTATTTGACAAAACTATAATATTATTGTTTTATAAGTCCAAATTTTATAACTTTCCTTCTTTTTACAATGATTCACAAATACTTATAGGGCAATTTCTTTTTCCTAACACTGAGTAAATGAACAAAATTATTATTTCAAGGCTACAGTATATTATTGCTTAAGGTTCTCAACTAGTAATATATTAGTATGATAGCACTTGAAAAATACATCATTTCTCAATGTGCAGGTGTCTAACAGAACCCAGAATCTAATGACTACATTGCTCATTAATAGTTTAAGGAATAGAATGCTTACCTTTTTTTTTTCTTGTGAAGATTTATGCCGCATTATTCTAACTACTGTTATAAAGTCTCCTGTGTAAATTAATTTTACCAACTGTTTGCTAGAAAATAATTAATTCAGTAATTTAATTCAAACTAAATTTGTATTGGCTCTTTATTCAATCTGTGGTTATGCAAATGTAAACAAATTGGCATGATTCATATTATATATTGAACAACATAATTATAAGTTAACAACATGGCCATGAACAGGTAGCTATTGGGACACAGTGTGTGACTATTGGGGCATAGTATGTCTTTTATCATTTTTGGCACTTTATAATCTCAAAACAGCTTTAATTAAATGTAACCAAATAATAATTACCTGTGTATAAATATTTTTCTTAGAAAAAAGGCAGTGTTTTGTTTTCAGTTTGATAATCTGTGATCATAGAAATCATACACGATTATTTAAAAGAGCACTTTACAATATGTCTCACAAGAGAACATTTACTCTGACTTAAATTTCTAAGATAAGCCTCTATAGGAATAACATCTGTTTCTTAAACAAAATTTAATTATCATGGCATTTGCCACACTGAAGCAAAATTTTTAAAGGAAATTCAAATAAATTCTTTAATTTAAGTGTGGATTTAGTTTATCCTTTAGTAAGCTCTGTTAGAATTCCACCACAACTAATTGTAGGTAAGCTGAAATTCAATGACATGAAAATTTATTTCTGCACAATGTGCTTGAAATAGAATTTCTATCTTTTCCATTTGAGCACTGAAAAACATTTAAAGGACTGTGTGTGACATGCGTCTCAAATTATAACCTAATATACAAATTAACCTTTGTAAATGGAAATAAATCAAATATTTACATTTATAAATATATTTGTTTTTAAATTTCGGTGACATCAAAAAAGCCTGAAGTAGCAGGTGAAAAAATATGAGATTATGAATGTGCATTTGAAAATATAATGTTACATTAATGGAATAGAACACATGGTACCAGAAGTCTTACTTTATCTGATTAGTAAAACATGAACTTCAAATTTGATTTTTGTAGAATAGGGCTTTTGATATTTCTATTCTCATGCCTTCTTAAATCATAATAAAGTTGTATTGAATCCTTTATATAATACTTAAATTCTACAGTGATTGTATACAAGTATACAAACTCAGACAGACCAAAATCACTACCAAAACATCCCCCTTATTAAAAAGAGGTAGCACAGTATTTCTCAGCATATTAAGAGTTATTTGTCACCTACTATTTACAAGAAAATTATTTAGCTTTTAATGTATCCTGATATCTCTTTTTTAAACTTAAAAACAGTTTTAAAAAATAAGCAAAAGTAGCTGATTCTTTTTTTTTGTTTGTTTTTGTTTTTGTTTTTTCAAGACAGGGTCTTGCTCTGTCACCCAGGCTGGAGTGCAGTGGCACAATCTTGGCTGACTGCAACCTCCACCTCCTGGGTTCAAGTGATTCTCTTGCCTCAGCCTCCTGAGTAGCTGGGATTACGGTGTGTGCCACCACACCTGGCTAATTTTTTGCATTTTTTAGTAGAGATGGGGTTTCATTATGTTGGCCAGGCTGGTCTCAAACTCCTGACCTCAGGTGATCTGCCCACCTCAGCCTCCCAAAGTGCTGGGATTACAGGCACAAGCCACCATGCCTGGCCAAGAAGCTGATTCTTTAGAACATCTCACTTTAAAAAAAAAATGATTTCTCCTTCTGATCCTTTTAGCACTTAACATTGGAATATAAGCTCCCTGAAAACAGGCATTTTTGTCTTATTTTTCACTGATTTAAAACCTCTTCATGGCCCTTATCTGATGAGGTGATTATTTCCATACTTGTCCCCCTGATCCATTAGATTCTGCCTTTGTTGAAAGGGGACCAAGCCTTATGCATCATTAATGTCTTACATGGGGAGCTTTGTGTATAACAAACACTCAATACAGCTGAAATATGTTTAGCTTTCATTCACTATCTATTTGAATAATGTAGGCATTATTTTCCCTAATTTGCTGGTAAGGAAACTGAGATTCAGAGATTTTTAACCTGTTTAAAACCACACAACTCTTTTGATTCCAACGCCTGAGCTCTTTCTACTCCTCTGCATTTCCTTTAGTCTAGACTATTGTAGGCAAGTTTCCTCTCTTCCAGTTTTCTCTATTCTCAGATGTGTTCTATCCGAAGCAGTGGTCAGTGGTCCTCTATTGACTGTTATCTCTATTCATGTCATTTCTGTCATCAGTCTATGTTAGCAGCTACCCATTGCCCTTCAAGTAAATTCTAAATGCTTTAGTGTAGTATTTGAGTCCTTGGAGACCCCATCTACTTTCCAAACTTCTCATCAGCCCCCTTCACATAACAACTTTTAGCCTCACTTGAATTAGTTGTTGGCACTGTTAGAAGTTCCTTTATAAAATTTTATAAACTGATCACTAGAAAGTTGTTTTCTCACTGAATTTGAGCTAAGTTTCCAGTTATTTTTTACTCATTCTATGTTCATATAACACATATTGCTATGTTTCCCTAAACCTTGGCTCTTACTATGTCTTCTGCCTGATGTTCCCTTCCTGGACTTCACATAGACAAATCCTAGGCAATGGTAAAGATCTAGATGCTGTCTTTTCCAGAAAGCCTTCCTTGACCCCACTAAGAAGGAGTAATGCTCAGCAGTTTCTCATTGTCTCAGGTACTCAGTATATATAAACTGTCTTTTGTAGCAGAGAGCTAAGGCATACTGAGATCAAACTAGGTGAACACAAGAGAAGATCATTTTTCATCTTTGTCAGGGAAGGCCAGGAAAGGACATCTCAAGTAGAGAACATTGTCACTCCCTATGATTTACAAATGGAATAGTTCAAGCAGAGAAACTCGTAGAATTATAGATTTGTTAAGTACCCAGAAAAGGCTACTTGTTATAGCAAAGAACACACAGATAGTGTCTAGATTCAGATCTTTTCATGGCAGAATGAGTCAGTATGGTGATCTCTGGACTTTCTGTGTTTCAGGTACCACTGGGGTAACCACTGGCACAACTCTTGCCCCTAGAAGTTTCAACATAGGTGAGAACAAGCTGAGTAGAATTTTCCCATTGGAACTTCTTTCAAGGAGCTATCTCCTCAGGTTTTATTTCTAGGCAAAATTATCATGATAATAATCCAAAATCCTTAATGTCTTCCCAATTGTGTCTTTCTTCTTTTCCTCATTCTCAGAGGCCAGAAGTTCCTAGGAGGAAGCAGAATCTCTGTAGGTGGAATAGCTCCAGCTCAGCCTGCTAAGCCATTATTGCGCTTTTTGATCATCTTTCATTAAGCAGTGTTGCCTGAAATGCAGCCACACTGCTTTATTCCATAAACTAAACCTTTAAAAAAATGCAAAGCAGTTACTAGATAACAAATGACAAGCTTGAGGAGCCTAAGACTTCCTTCTACCTTAAGGAGCTCATTCAGTGCACTAAGAAGTCAAGTCACTGGCCACTGGATATATGTGTACTGAGAAAACTTTCATTTCCAAGCACCGAATCTCAAAGACACTAAAGCGCCTAGAATGTTGTTAGGAAATTTGCTATAAGAAAGAGATGCTACATTGGAAACACAGATTAATTCTTGCCATTCGAAAGCTCAAAGAAAGAGCATCCTAATATATTGTAAGAAATACAAATTTTTGAAAAAGCAATTCCCTAGTCATGGCATGTTGACCACCATTTCTTTATTTCAGGAACTTCTGGTGGAATTTCTGGGAAAACCCTCAAACCTGGAAGTTATGTCTCAGGTAAGTCACCACATACCAGGACATCCTGGAGGGAGCCACTTAGGTAATACAGTTGACCCAGCATGCTTTTCTTTTTCTTTTCTTTTCTTTTTTTTTTCTTTTGAGATAGGGTCTCACTCTGTTGCCCAGGCTGGAGTACAGGGGCATGATCTTGGCTCACTGCAGCCTTGACCTCCTAGGCTCAGGTGATCCTGCCACCTCAGCCTCCCAGGTAGCTGGGACTACAGGCTATTTTTTGTAGAGATGGGGTTTCATTACGTTGTCCAGTCTGGTCTCAAACTCCTGGACTCAAGTGATCTGCCAGCCTTGGCTTCCCAAAGTGCTGGAATTATAGGTGTGAGTCACCACACCCAACCGTCAGCATGTTCTTACTTTTTCCCTTTCTTTTCTTTCTCAGAGGCTACAACTGCTACAGGGACTCCTGGAGCAGGACCGTCAGGAGGTGAGTGTTCTCATTCCAAGACTTTGGGTTCTGTTGATTCATTGTTTGGGATTGCAGCTTAAAACAGAAGAATACGAAGGTTGAGGACACATTTTACACAAGGCCAAGTCAAATTGTGAATCCCTCTGGAACTGCCATTTTCATGACCCTCCAACAAGTGTGCCTGAGTCCTGGCTTTCAGAACTAGTTCTCTGAAGTCAGGAATGAGACCGTCATTGCTTTAAAGTTCACAGAATTTTTTTTCACAGGCACCACTATCAGTTCTCCTGAAGTCAGTACCATTTCAGAAGTTTCCAACACAGGTAAAATTCCATAAAGAAAATGTAAGCTGGCTCTTACTCCTATGTGAGTTTTGTGCATGTGTATGTGTGTGCATGGGAATGGTTTAAGGATGACATGAAATCAACCACAAAAGTATCACAGAGACATTTCTAAAGAACTTTATATTTCATTTTTCTCCCTCTGTAGTCATCCCTGGTACACCAGGGAGACATAACAGGAATTGAAACAGGCAGGCATGAAATGAGCCTCCATCCCTCTGTCAGCAGGCTAGAATGTAGGGGTGTTCACTGGCAAGTCGCCTGCGAATAAATGAGCCAAGGAAATGAAATGAGAGAAGGACACTCCTAATTTAGCATTTGCACCATTTATAACATTAAGTCCTGAGAAAGGCCCTTTTAGTTGCTTCCATGATGAATTTGCTAAATTTGCTTTTTCTTGTTTTAGGTATCACTGGAGTAGGCTCTGAGACATCTATTGAAACAGGAATTTCCAACACAGGTAAAGTTGAAAGAAAACCGTCTCTATGGACACACAGATGAAATGATGTTTTTTTGTAGAGTTGTTCTGATGAATAACACAAAATCTGTCTTCTCACTAGTGCAACTCCCCAGAATTTACAATTCCATATCCTGTCTCAAAGGCTACAATTTCTGCAGAACACGTTGGCACCACTGAAGCTTCATTCACAATAGGGGAGAAGGAGCAACTCATGTCTTTGTTGTTTTCAGATTTTGACACTCATAGCGAGACTAGAGAGAGGAGGATTCTGGAGAGCAGTTTGTATTTACTTTACTAATACTACATTTTTGGCCAACAAATTCTTTATCAGTTTAGACATTTTTCCAGAAAAGCTACTAATTACAGATTGCAGAATCATACTTCTAATCCTGGAAGACAGGATGATTATACTGATTGTTCTAAGTAACTTCTGCTGTGAAATTACAAACATTAGAAGCTTTTAAAACAGGAGGGGGTGATAAAACTTGCTGAGAAACACAGAGGAGCTACAAGAACCCAGGAAACACACCTGCCCTGTGTCAATGCTTCCTTTTCACAAATGAAGAGCTAAATATTTTCACAATGTCTGGAGTTCTCAGCACACTCATGGCATTCTCAGCAACCACCCCACAGCAGGCACCACTCTTGCATCTGACAGCCAAGACACAGGGAGGAGAACAGGTGAGCATGGGAGAAACCCACATTGTCCTCCTGACAGGAAGATTATCACAGGTTGAGAACATTGTCACTTTGGTTGCTTTGGTAATCAAACGGTTAATGAGAAAATACATAGGGCTCATCATCAGGGAAGAGCTAGGGAAAATGCTAGTTAGATATAAGTTAGATTTAGATTCTTTCTAGAGGCAGGTCCATAGGAAAGAAAGATTAATCACCATGGTGATCCCAGTCCTCTTGGTGTTTCAGCTACGACTGGGGTGGCTCCTGGCACAACCCTTGCCCCTGGCAGTTCCAGTACAGGTGAGTCTGCAGGTTGGCAGGGAAGTCTTCAGAGCTCCTCCCATAATTTGATATCTTCTCTGGTGCTTGTCTTTTTAAGAGTAATATCTTATTCATTTCATAGTGATTGAATATTTTTCAAATATGTCTTTTCTGTTTTTCTGTCTCTCAGAGGCCACAACTTCCATAGGAGGAAGTGCATCAACAAGAGGAGGAATAGCCACAGGTGAGCATTGCTGGGTCATTGCACTCATTTGCCAATAATATCCAATAAAGACTGTGGTGCGAAATGAATCCATGTGACTGGATTCTCCCATATTGA
This sequence comes from Homo sapiens, assembly GCF_000001405.40. Taxonomy (NCBI): domain Eukaryota; kingdom Metazoa; phylum Chordata; class Mammalia; order Primates; family Hominidae; genus Homo; species Homo sapiens. The sequence continues at coordinate 40,501,508 of NC_000012.12, forward strand.
GTACTGATCGAGAACATATTACCGTTGTTCATTGATGAAAGATCGGAAACTCAAATTTCATTCTTATTTCCTGTGCTGTAAGCAGATTCTCCTTCCACACCCAAGGCAGTCGTACAGTCATTTGATTGACAGTTATATAAATGATCTAGAGATAGCCCCCATTTCCCTGTTCCAGAACACTAGAAAAAAAAAAAAGTATCGATAAGTGAAAATGTCTTTGGTAGATATACTGTGGGAAGGATATTATATGAGAAATATACAGATGTCATTTTAGCATTTAAAACCCAGTTTACTGACATATTGAATAAGTATATAGATTTTATCAATTTATTTGCTTGTTGCCCATTACCCACTTTCTTAAGACCACTGGGGCATTCTCTAGAAAGACTCTGGAACTTGGGAATGACAAGACAGGCTATTCCAAAAGCACACAGGGAATACTACACCTTGGCTGCTCAGGTGACAGGCTCCTAGGGCTACGTAACCCTGTATGTATTCATACTGCAGTCTTTATTCTTGTTTTCTTTTCTCTCAGAAGCCACAGGTTCCACAAGAGGGGTCAGGACCACTGGATCAGAAGCTCCAGAAGGTAAGCTTCATCAGTCCCCAGGCTTCAGAGTTCTCATCTTTGCCCTGTTGTGGGATACTGAGGTAAACACATAAATGAGAATGAGGGCCAAGGAAAGACAGTTACTTTTTATCTGGAAGCACAACATGTATTCTGATCTTCTGAGTTATTCTGCTAAAGAATTTCAGAAACTGGGTGTATTAGTTTGTTCTCACGTTGCTTTAAGGAACTACCTGAGACTAGGTAGTTTATAAAGCAAACGAGTTTAATGATGGACAGTTCTGCAGGCTGTATGGAGGCATGGCTGGGAAGGCCTCAGGAAACTTACAATCATGGTGGAAGGTGAAGGGGAAGCAAGTACATCTTTACTTGGTGACAGTAGAGAAAGACAGAGTGAAAGAGGAAGTGCTACACACTTTTAAAGAAGCAGTTCTCGTGAGAACTCACTATCACAAGAACAGCAAAGGGGAAATCCAGCCTCTATGATCCAATCAGCTCCAAACAGGTTCCTCCCCCAACACTGGGGATTATAATTCAACATGAGATATGAGTGGGGACTGAGAGTCAAACCTTATCACTCGGTTATCTAAGTCAGGCATTGCTCCATTTCCTGTGTGACAATTTTAGTACTCTGGACACCTGGCTGAGGCCCACTGACTTGCAGCAGCCTCTGCAGAACCCCCAATTCTTCCATTCTGCTCCTCATGATTCCACAAAGTACTATAACCTGCTGACATCTATTGAACATATTTATTATACTTGTTTATTTTCTGTGATCCCTCTCCCACAAATGGAAACCTCACAAAGCAGAGACCGTTGTCTGTTCTTTTCACTGAGAAGAGAATGTCAGGTACAAAGGATTGCTTACGGAATATAAGATGAGTAACAAGTATGTACTTATTTTGAGTGTCACTCTGTTTACTTCGACAACTACCACCACGGTTTCACCTGGTGCCAGCAGCGGTTCACAGGGTCCCAAGCCAGGTAGGATGAACTACTTAAAATCACCAGTGGGAGGTATAAATATCTCATAGAAGTATATTATTATACATCTGATTATCACAATATTATCAGTTACACAAACGAGAACATTTAGAATGTTCAAGACATTTTTCCTCCTCCAGGAACACCAGGAAACTACATCACTGAAAGTGAAGTTAGTAAAGTGAATTTAAGCATCTTTCCTTTTTTAACTGAATTTAAGCTATTACTGTCTTTGAATAGGCTGCAGGGGAAAGGATAATCCATAGCAAATCATCTGTCAATAGTTGGGGGAAAGTTATTCATTGTTAATTTCCTTTGGAAACCAGAGTTCTTAGGAAAGGTCTTCTAGTGGTTCAGGAACACATTGATGATTCCAGTATTATTTGTCCTATTAGCTCCTTTATTTTTCTCATTTTAGGTACTTCTGGAGAATTCTCTGGGACAACCATTTCATCTGGAGGCTTCCACACAGGTAGTTGAATGAGAACGAGTTCCTCATCTGGAATGCATGATAACTTTGCAGAGCTGCAATAATAAACTAGCACTGTGATACTTTTCCCCAGTATCTCAGATTCCCCAGACCTCTTTATTCTCCTCTTTTCTCAGAAGCCACAACTCTCACAGGAGGTAGGGGCAGTATTGGAACTGAATCCAGAGCAGGTGAGGTGGAGCAGCTCATGATTTGGGATTTACCGTGAATCATGACTCTCATTAGCATGACTTGTTTGGAAGCGGGCTTTCCTACAGAATATTTTGCATTTATTTCTGGACAATGCATCTTAGAACAAATAGTTCTGCCTTTAAATTAAATATTTTCCCCAAAATTTACCAATATCATCTTAGAAGTGAGATGGCTCTTGTAATTGTTCTGAGAAATTTCTCCTGTAATGTTATATATAAGTATGGCTAGGATATTAGTAGGAGCAAAAAACATTTGTGATCCAGGGAAGGAGAGATAATGTAAATGAATCCTAGAAATACGTGTATAGAGGTTTCCATGCCCTAAAACCAATACAATTATTAGTGCTTTCTTGATGTCTCAAATTGCCAGCAAACTTAATTTTTTATGTTTCATCCCTGGCAGTAAATTGGTGAGTATGGAAAATTGTGTGTCTCCCTCTCATGGAATGTATATTGCTTCAAGCTGAGGAAGTGGCCCCTCTGATTGCATTGAGAATTAAATGGTTTTACAGGTTGACAGGGAACTCTTCAGAGCTCCTCTCATAATTAGATATTTCTTTTGGTGTTATTGTTTATGAGAGTAATGTCATATCTGTTTCATGGCCTTTGAATATTTTCCAAATATGTTTTTTCTGTTTTTCTGTCTCTCAGAGTCCACAACTTCCCTACCACAAAGTGCAAAAACAAGAGGTGGAATACTGACAGGTGAGCATTGCTGGGTCATTGCACTCACCTGGTAATAATATTCAATAAAGCCTGTGGTTTGAAAAGTATCCATACTCTCATTTCTCCCATATTAACATTGTTAGGAAAGTTCCTACCATTTTTCACTGACTAAATATAGAATCTCAAATTTCATTCTTATTTTTTGTGGTTGAACAGACTCTTCTATTGCCCCCCAAGGAAAACATGCAGCCATTTGACTGACAGTTACATAGAAAATCTAGAGTTAGCTTCTATTTTCCTATTCATGAAATATTGAGAAAAGGAAGCCTAATAAGTTAAAAAAAATTGGGCAAATATACCATGGGAAGAATATTATTTGAGAAGTGTAGAGATTAGCTTTTGACATTTAAAGGCCAATTTATTGAAATAATAAATAAGTATACAGCCTGTGTCTATTTATTTGCTTAATACTCATTTCCCACTTCATGGTAATGAGGTAATGACCCACCACTGCCCCATCCCTTTCTTAATAGCTACCAGTGGGGCATTCTCTGGGAAGACTCTGGAACCTGGGATTGACAACACAGGCAAGTCAAAAAGCACACAGAGAATGCTACACCATGGCTGCTCAGATGGCAGTCTCCTAGGGCAACGTAACCCTGTACTCCCCATACTGCAGACTTCATGCTTGCTTTCTTTTCTCTCAGAGGCCACAAGTTCCACAGGAAGGATCAGGGCGACCGGATCAGAAGCTCCAGGAGGTAAGGTTCACCAGTCCCAGACCTCAGGGTTCTCCTCATTTCCCTGTTATGCTGAGGTGAACACATAAGTGAGAATGGGGGCAAAGGAAAGGGGGTTACTTCTTGCCTGGAAGCACAACATGTATTCTGACCATCCTGAGTATTCCTGCTAAAGAATTTGAGACACTGGGTTATGTATGTCAGGCATTGCTCCATGGCCTGTGTGACAGTGTTAGTTGTCTGGACACCTGGTTGAGGCCCACTGACCTGCAGCAGTCTTCTTGGAACCCTGATTGTCCCCACTTGCTCATGATGATTCTGCAAAGTACTATCACCTGCTGCCATCTCTCAAACGTATTTATTACACTTCCTGTTTACTTCCTGTGTTTCCTCTCCCACAAATGTAAATCACATGAGGCAGAGACCTTTCTCTCTTCTTCTCACTGTCAGATACAGTGAAAATTCTTCTAGAATATGAGATGAGTGACAGGCATATTCTTATGTAGAAGTTGCCCTTGGTGTCAGCAACAGCTCACAGAATCCCATGCCAGTTGGCATAGGCTACATAAAGACACTAAAGGAAGCTATAAACATCCATGTATTTATTCTTAAAAACATGATAATCACAGTATTACCTGTTCCACAAAGGAAAACACTTAGAATGTTCAAGACTTTTTCTTGCTCCTGGATCACTAGAGACCCAAGTCACTGGACATGAAATCTGTAAAGTCAGATTAAACATCCTTCTTTCTAAATAGGCTGTGATGGAAGAAGTAGTTAGTAGCAAAACAATAGTGGATACATTGCAGGGAACCATTATGGTTCATTTCCCTCCAAAACAGATTATGAGGAAAGATATTCCAGTGGATCAAGACAGCATTGCTGTTTCCAGTGTTGTTTGTCCTATTAGCTGCTTTACTTTCTCATTGTAGGTACCTCTGGTGAATTCCCAGGGACAACATTTACATCTGGAGGTTCCCACACAGGTAGTTGAATGGGAAGGAAATCCTCATCTTGAATGCATGATGACTTTGTAGCGCTGCAGTCAAGAAATAGTGACTCAGTGTTTTTTGCCAGTGTCTCCCAGACCTCTTGATCCTATTCTTTCTTTTCTCAGAGGCCACAACTTTCACAGGAGACAAGGGCAGTACTGGAACTGAATCCAGAGCAGGTGAGGATGAGCAGCCCGTAATTCACATGTTACCATGAATCTTGACTCTCATTAGGATGACTTTTTTGGGAGTGGACTTTTCTGCAGAATATTATGCATTTATTTAGGGATAATGAATCTTGGGCCCAGGAGAACTTCCTTTAGATTTTATATTTTCTAAAACTTTACCAATAGCCTCTTTCAAAGTGGGATATCTATTGCATTTGTTTTGAGAAGTTTCTCCTGTGAGGGTACATAGAAACGTTGCCAGGGTGTTACTGGGAACTATGAACAGTTTTGTTGTAGGGAAGAAGAGATAACTTAAATGAACCTTAGAAACATTCCTAAAGAGTGGTTTTCATGCCTTAGAAGCAAGAGAAATGTTTGGTATATTCTTGATTTGTAAGAGTCTCAGGAAAATTGTTTGTCTCCCATATTCCAGGGAGTAAAATGGTGAACATGGGGACCACCACCTGTTTCCTGATGGAAGACCAGAAATATTGCCTCAACTTAAGGAATTGGACCTCCTGATTGTTTTGCTAGTAAAATGGATATGCAGAAAATATACAGGGCATGACATCAGGAAGGATCATGGAAAGCACCATTTATAAATAATTCAGATAGGCCTAGATAGTTTTTAGAGGCAGGCCTAGAGGAAAGGGAAAAGTTGATCACCATGGTGATCCCACTCTTCTTTGTGTTTCAGCCACCACTAGGGCAACTCCTGGCACAACTCTTGTCCCTGGCAGTTCCAATACAGGTGAGTCTGCAGGTTGCCAGGGAACCTTCAGAGCTCCTCCCATATTTCAATGTGCGATGTCTCCTCTGCTGCTGTTCTTTCCAGAGGTTGTATCATGTTCTTTTCATGGTCCTTGAGTATTTCCTAATATACCTTCCTTGTTTTTCTGTCTCTCAGGGGCCACAGCTTCCCCAGGTGGAAGTGCAATGACAAGAGGTAGAATAACCACCGGTGAGCATTGCTGGGTCATTGGACTCACTTTTTAATAATATCCAATAAACCTTATTGCTTTAAATGTATTCATGTCACACATTTCTTCACCACTGAGCATTGTTAGGTAAAATCTTACCTTCATTCATTAATTATATCAGGTAGCTGCAAAAGTAATTGCGGTTTTGCTATTGCAGATCATAACAAATTGGCAACTCAGAAATAGCAAATCAGTGATAGCAAATCAGAAACTGAAAATTAATTTCTTTCTATACTTTAAGCAAACACTTCCTTTAGTCTTCAGGTAATCATGTAGCCATTGGACAGTTAAATAGAGAATCTAGAGTGATAGCTGCTAGGACCCTATTCCTGAACCCTAGAGAAATGGAGACCCAATAAGTAAAAATTCCTTTGGTACTATACCATGAGAAGGGTATTATATGAGGAGTATATGGATGACCTTTTGGGATTTAAAGCCCAGTTTCCTGAAATATTGAAAAAGTATACAGATTTATCCATTTATGAGGTTGTTATTCTCTGCCTACTTGATGATGATGAGGTACTGACCCATGACTACCCATCTCTTTCTTAATAGCTACCACTGGGGCTTTCTCTGGAAAGACTCTCGAATCTGAGAATGACAACACAGGCAAGTCCACAGCCACACAGGGAATGCTATGCCATGACTGCTCGGGTGACAGGCTCCTAGGGTTACATAACCCTGCACTCTCCATACTGTAGATGTCATCCTTGTTTTCTTTTCTCTCAGAGGCCACAAGTTCCACCAGAGGGGTCAGGACCACCAGGTCAGAAGCACCAGGAGGTAAGCTTCGTCAATCCAAGGCTTCAGAGTTCTCATCATTGTCATTTTGTGCTCAGGGTAACACATAAATGAGAAACGGGGCCAAGGAAAGGGGGTTACTTCTTGTCTGGAAGGACAACATGTACTGTGGCCATCCTGAGTAGTTCTGCTAAGGAATTTCAGAAACTGGGCCATCTAAGTCAGGCATTGCGCCATGGCCTGGGTGACAATGTTAGTTCTCTAGACACCTGTCTGTGGCCCACTGAGCTACAGCAGCCTTCCTGGAACACTGATTCTCCCCGTTCTGCTCATCATGATTCTGCAAAGTACAATCACCTGCTACTATCTCACTAACATGTTTTTTACACTTCTTGTTTATTTCCTCTGTTCTTTCTCCCACAAATGTAAATCACATGTGGCAGAGACCCTTGTCTCTTCTTCTCATTGACAGAAGACTGTCAGACACAGTGGAAATGCTTCCAGAATATGAGAGGAGTGACAGGCATATTCTTATGTAGAATGTCACTCTGTTTACTTCAATGGCTACCACCCTCATTTCCCTTCGTGTCAGCAGCAGTTCACAGGATCCCATGCCAGCTGGCACAGGCTACAGAAAAACACTAAATGAATCTATAAACATCTCCTATGTGTTTATTCTTAAAAACATGATAATTACAATATTACCTTTTCCACAAAGGAGAACACTTAGAATGTTCAAGACTTTTTCTTGCTCCTGGATCACTAGAGAGCCAAGTCACTGGATGTGAAACCTAAAAAGTGAGATTAAACTTCCCTCTTTTTAAATAGACCGTGATAGAAAAAATAGCCAGCAGCAAAACAATAGTGTATACATTGTAGGGAAAACCATTCACGATTCATTTCCTTCAGAAACAGAGATTATGAGGAAAGGTCTTCCAGTGTATCAAGGCAGTATTGCTGTTTCCAGTGTTGTTTGTCCTATTAGCTGCTTTACTTTCTCATTGTAGGTACTTCTGGTGAATTCCCTGGGACAAGAATTACATCTGGAGGTTCCTACACAGGTAGTTGAATGGGAAGGAAATCCTCATTTTGAATGCATGATGACTTTGTAGAGCTGCAATCATAAAATAGCAACTTAATGCTTTTTGCCAGTGTCTCCCAGACCTCTTGATCCTATTCTTTCTTTTCTCAGCGGCCGCAACTTTAACAGGAGGCAAGGGCAGTACTGGAACTGAATCCAGAGCAGGTGAGGATGAGCAGCCCATAATTCACGTGTTACTGTGAAGCTTGACTCTCATTAGGATGACTTGTTTGGAAGTGGACTTTTCTGCAGAATATTATGCATTCATTTAGGGATAATGAATCTTAGGCCCAGTAGAACTTCCTTTAGATTTTATATTTTCTAAAACTTTACCAGTAGCCTCTTTTAAATTGGGGTATCTATTGCATTTGTTCTGAGAAGTTTCTCCTGTGAGGTTACATAGAAACGTTGCCAGGGTGTTACTGGGAACTATGAACAGTTTTGATCTAGGGAAGAAGAGATAACTTAAATGAACCTTAGAAACATACATAAATAATGGTTTTCATGCCTCAGAAACAACAGAAATGTTTAGTATATTCTTGACGCATAAGAGTCCCAGGGAAATTGTTTTGGTCTTCCATATTCCGGGGCATAAAATAGTAAATAAGGGGAACACTACCTGTCTCCTGATGAAGACCAGACATATGGTCTCAAGTTAAGGATTCGGACCTCTTGATTGTTTTGCTAGTAAAATGGACAAGGAGAAAATATACAGGGCACCATATCAGGAAGAATCAGTGAAAGCACCATTCATAAATAATTCAGATAAGTCTGGGTAGTTTTTAGAGGCAGGCCTATAGGAAAGGGAAAGGTTGATCACCATGGTGATCCCACTCTTCTTTGTGTTTCAGCCACCACCAGGGCAGCTCCTGGCACAACTCTTGCCCCTGGCAGTTCCAACACGGGTGAGTCTGCGGGTTGCCAGGGAACCTTCAGAGCTCCTCCCATATTTCGATGTTCGATGTCTCCTCTGCTGCTGTTCTTTCAAGAAGTTGTATCGTCTTCTTTTCATGGTCCTTGAATATTTCCTAATATGCCTTCCCTGTTTTTCTGTCTCTCAGGGGCCACAGCTTCCCTAGGTGGAAGTGCAATGACAAGAGGTAGAATAACCACCGGTGAGCATTGCTCGGTCGTTGCACTCACTCTTTAATAATATCCATGAAAGGTTATTGCTTGAAATGTATGCATGTCACATATTTTTTCACATGGAACATTGTTAGGTAAGATCTTACCTTCATTTATTAAGTATATCAAGTTTGTGCAAAAGTAACTGCAGGTTTGCTATTGAAATTAATAGCAAATCAGACACACAGAAATAGCAACTCAGTGATAGCAAATCAGAAACTCAAAATTTAATATATTTCTGTACTTTAAGCAGACCCTCCCACTAGTCCCCAAGGTAATCATGCAGCCATTGGACAGTTACATAGAGAATCTAGAGTGATAGCTGCTAGAAGCCTCTTCCAGAACTCTAGCTAAATGGAGACCCAATAAGTTAAATTCTTTTGGTACTATACTGTGGGAAGGATATTACATGAGGAATATATAGTTGACCTTTTGGGATTTAAAGCCCAGTTTCCTGAGATATTGAATAAGTATACAGATTTATCCATTTATGAGGTTGTTATTCTCTGTCCACTTGATGATGATGAGGTACTTACCCATTATTACCCATCTGTTTCTTAATAGCTACCACTGGGGCTTTCTCTGGAAAGACTCTGGAACCTGGGAACAACAACACAGGCAAGTCCACAAGCACACAGGGAATGCAACACCATGGCTGCTCGGGCGACAGGCTCCTAGGGTTACATAACCCTGTAATTCCCATACTGTAGATGTCATCCTTGCTTTCTTTTCTCTCAGAGGCCACAAGTTCCACCAGAGGGGTCAGGACCACCAGATCAGAAGCTCCAGGAGGTAAGCTTCATCAGTCCCAGGCTTCAGAGTTCTCATCGTCGTTTTGTGCTCAGGATAACACATAAATGAGAAACGGGGCCAAGGAAAGGGGGTTACTTCTTGTCTGGAAGGACAACATGTATTCTGGCCAATCTGAGTAGTTCTGCTAAGGAGTTTCAGACACAGGGTTATCTAAGTTAGGTGTTGCCCCATGGCCCGTGTGACAGTGTTAGTTCTCTGGACACCTGTCTGAGGCCCACTGACCTGCAGCAGCATCCCCAGAACCCTGATTCTCCCCACTCAGGTCATCATGACTCTGCATAGCACTATCACCTACTGCCATCTCTCGAGCATATTTATTTTACTTCTTGTTTATTTCGTGTTTTCTCTCTCCCATAAATGTAGATCACATGAGACAGAGACCTCTGTCTATTCTTGTCTCTGAGAAGTGGATGTCAGGCACACAGGAAATGCTTCCATAATGTGAGATGGGTGACTGGTATATTCTTATGCAGAGTGTCACTATGTTTAATTTAGCAGCTACCACCACAGTTTCATTTGGTGTCAGCAGCAGTTCGCAGGGTCCCAAGCAAGGTAGGATGAACTACTTAAAGTCAGCAGAGGAAGGTATAAATATCTCATAGGAGGGCATTGCTCAGCATATGATAAGCACAATATCGCCGGTTATTGATATGAGAACATTTAGAATGTTCAAGTCTTTTTCTCCTTCCTGGGAGCACAAGAAAAGCACAACATTTGAAGTGAAATCAAGAAAGTGAAGTTAAGCTTCCTTTTTCAGTAGAGTACAGGGGAAGGGATAGTCAGTATAAAAACATTAGTAAGTTGGCAAAAATTATTCATGGTTCATATTTTCTGAAACAAGTTTTCAAGAAAGGTCTTCCAGTGGTTCAGGACCACGTTGCTGATTCCAGTACTGCTTGCTCTATTAGTTCCTTTAGTTTCTCATTTTAGGGACTTCTGGTAAATTCTGTGGGACAACCATTTCACTGGGAGGTTCTAGCACAGGTAGTTCACTAAGAAGGTCATCGTCATCTTGCATGGGTGATAACTTTATAGAAATTCAGTGATAAAATAGCAACTCAGTACTTTTTACCAGCATCTTAAATTTCCTAGACCTCTTGATTCTTCTCTTTCTTTCCTCAGAGGCCACAACTCTCACAGGAGACAGGAGCAGTACCGGAAGTGAATCCAGAACAGGTGAGGATGGCAGCTTATGATTGGGGAGTTACCAAGAACCATGACTTTCGGGATAACTTGCTTGGAAGTAGGCTTTCCTACAGAATATTAAGTAATTTATTTAGGGACAATCTGTCTGAGGCCAAATATATTTTTTAATTTAATATTTTCCTTAACCTTTTAATATACACTTTTCAAATGGGTTGACTCTTCTAGTTGGGGTGTAAATGAAATGTAATTGTTCTGAGAAATTTCCCCATAACATTACATTGAAACATTTTCAACGTAGTAGTAGGAACTAAAAGCAGTTTTAACCCTGGGAAGTAGAGATATATGAATCTTGGAATCATGCCTACATAGATTTTTTTTTTGCCCTAAAGTAATAGAAATAATTAGTAGTAAGTCAATGGGTACAAAATCACAATTAGATAGCAGGCATTAGTTCCGGTGGTTTATAGTGCAGTGGAGTGCCTATAGTAAGCAATATTATAGTATATATTTGAAAATACCTTGAAGAGATATGTGTCAGTCCATTTTCATGCTGCTGATAAAGACATACCCAAGACTGCATAGTTTATAAAGAAAAAGAGATTTAATGGACTCACAGTTCCACAAGGCTATGGAGGCCTCACAATCATGGTGGAAGGCGAAAGGCATGTCTTACATGGCAACAGGCAAGAGAGAGCTTGTGCAGGGGAACTCCCCTTTATAAAACCATCAGATCTTGTGAGACTTATTCACTGTCATAAAAACAGCAGGGGAAAGACCCACTCCCATGGTTCAACTATCTCCCACCGGGTCCCTCCCATGACACATGTGAATTGTGGGAGCTACATTTCAAGATGAGATTTGGGTGGGGACACAGCCAAACCATATCAAGAGGATTCTAAATTTTCTTACCACAAAGCTATGATAAATGTCAGAGATTATGGTTATGCTAAAGACCATGACTTGACTATTACAATGTGTATACATCTATATCAAAACCTCACGCTGGAAATATGTAAAATTATGTGTCGATTAAAAATGTAATTAGAAATAGATACAATTATTATAAAGCAAATATTTTTTGTCTTCTACTCCTAGCGGTGAAATAGGTAAATATGGGAGAAAACTATCTGTCTCACTGTCGTGGGATGCTAGATATAATGCCCCAACTTGGTAGTTTATTAATGAATGGGAAAACACATCCGAGTGGCAGCCAGAGAAAGTGGCCTTTGACATCCAGTTACTACTGGCCTTTGATGTAAACAGATTCCTTCTAGAGGCAGGTCTTCAGGACACAAGCGGGAGTCACTGTGGTGATGCCAGTTCCTCTTGTGTTTCAGCCACCACTGGAGTAGCTCCTGGCACAACTGTTGCCCCTGGCAGTTCCAAGACAGGTAAGTCAACAGGTTGACATGGAATCTTCCACGTGCCCTCCCATAATTAGATATCTCCTTTGTATTATTTTTTGCAGGAGTAGCACCATATCTTCTCCACAATCCTTAAATATTCTCCAGGTAACACTTATCTCTTTGTTTCCCTTAGAGGCCACCACTTTCCTAGGAGTAAGTGGAACAACAAACATTGGAAGAGCCACGGGTGAGTGCTGCTAGACTAAGACCTTTAATTCCTAATGAAACCTTCAATAGTCTTCTGAAAATATCTACATGATTCGCATATGCTATATTGTGAAAATACAGAGAAAAAGACTAGACAGTCATTATATTGCCTCCTTATTTCCTGAGCTTAGAAGGGCTTTCATTAAAGCATCGAAATGTAAAACCATGACAGATAAATAGGTAATATGGGGAGAAAATTCCAATTTCCCTGCCAAAAAGAAGGACATTATAGTTGAGAACTGTCTCAGTAAAATTGCTGTGGAAAGAAATGTTGCATGGGACAAGTACGAATTACTTCTAGCACTGCAAGTGTCAGAGTAACAATTTGCTTCTAAGTGGGGATTTGAGATCCCTATTCAAATCAGTGGACAAACAGTTGAACTAGTGACTCCATCTCTTTGTTATTGTAAGTATTACTAGTGTAGTCTCTGGAAAAACACTGAAACCTGGAAGTTACAACACAAGCCAGTCTGAAAATACATGCAAAATCTGGACATGGGCACCGTGGTTGACATACTCTGCCCACAGCACTGTGTATAGTCTCCCAAACCTTAATCTTTACCCCTTCTTTCTTTTCTTTCTCAGGTGCCACAACTTCCATAGTAGGGAGTGACACCAGCCAAGCAGAACGTCCAGGAGGTGAGCTTTTTACTCTAAGACCTTGGTGCTTTTATCAAATCCCTGTTCTCTGCAGTGAAAACATGGGTGTGAAAGTGGGTAGAGGAAAGGAGCCTGCATTTCCCCTGGAAATATAACATGCCAGAGTCAAAACCTGGGTGTGCATAGGAATTCCCTGGCCTCACCTGGGTTATCCCTCTGGATTTCCAGGAGCCCAGGCTTGCAGAGCTAGTTATTATGTAGCAAGGATGAGGGCAAGCTGCTGGATAAACCCTGCTTATCAGGGTCCCTGACCCTTTTATACAATTTGCCTTTTTCCTAAAGTGTTTACTAACATCTTTCACACTGACTTATTTATTACGTTTATTGTTCATTGCTGGCCTCCAGTTACTAGAATGTAAGGTGCATTAGGAGAGAGGTCTTTGAACATTTTGCTCACTGATACATCCCAAGGGCCTAAAACAATATCACATGAAAGAGATATTTAATAAAGCTTAGTTGAAAGGTGAAATGTATTATTTGAAGAATTTTTCACTCCACTTGCCTTAATAGGTACAACTGTGGTTTCACCTGGAGCCAGCAGCACTTCACAGAGCTCCAGGCCAGGTAGGAAGGACTAAATACAGTCCTCATATGCGAGGATTAGAGTTAACAAGTTCTATTTTCAAATTCTCAGTATCAAAATGCCTGAGGTAATTGATGAGTAAAATTCAGAAAGATGAATCTGTCATCTGCTTTTTTTCTCCTGAAGGCACCTCTGTCACACCAGACAGTTCAGCATCTGAAAGTGAAACAGGTGAGGAGGAGATAGGGTTACCATCAACATTCAGTGTGCTCTATGGAAAGGGAACCCCAGGAGCAACAGGCCAGGACATGAAGTGGTAGTCACTTATAGTTCATTTCCTTACAAAACAGAGGCTTTCAGGAATGTTCTTCCAGTGGATTAAAGCCACATAGCTATTTCCACAACTGATTTAGGGGGTAATGCCATGTTTATCCCTTTCTTTTTCCACTTTTAGTTACTACAAAAGAATTCTCTGGGACAACTGCTATATCTAGAACTTCCCACACCGGTAGGTTAATAAGCAGGAAATCTCCATGTTTAACCACATAATATAGTTATTAGAGCTGCTTTGATGAAATACCAACCTCATTGTTTTCTCAATATCCCAAATTCTGATCTCACCATTCACCACTTCCTCTCTCAGAGGCTGCAACTTTAACAGAAGGCCGCAGCGTTCCTCCATCTGGATCCAGCCCCAGTGAGAATGAACAGAGCACAGCTTAGGGTTTAGCATAAATTATGACTCTCCCTAGGCTCGCCTGTTGGGAGTGTGTTTTCCTAGGTAGTGGTTTGCATTTACTTTCAGTGTTTTCTTACACTGAACACATTCTGGAAAACTCTTAAAACCAACATCTAGCCCCACAGCTGTAACTTTCTAAAGAGGGGCTGGTGGTACAGTCAGCATAACAGATTTCTCCTGCAAAACCACGTATACCACTGTGGTGTAGAGGGAGCTGACAAATATTGTATTTCTGGAAAGAAAACAATATAAATTCTCGAAGCAAGCATATCCTGTATAAAAGTTTTCTTACTCAAAAAAGCAATAATGATATGAAATATTTTCCAGTGTTCTTGGCACATGACAACATTGTTCTGGTTTTCATCCCATGGCAGGCACCCCTGCAGCCTCAGGAGGCCAAGCAACTGGGAGCCTGACAGGTGAAGGGGAGGGAAAGCCACCCTGTTTCCTTGTCTGGGAGTGAATGTATGAAATTCAGTGGAGGGGCCTCAATTTGGGCACATTACTATTTCCATTGCTCTTTTAATTTGCTATGGGTCATAGCAAAGGCATATGATTCTCAGTTAATCAGGAAGCAGTGAAAGGGCCCTTTGATATAACAAAGATACACCCAGATTCCTTCTGGAGGAAGGTCTTCAGAAGACAAACACAAGTCACTGTGATGATCACAGACCCTTTGTGTTTCAGCCACCACTGGGGTAGCTCCTGGCACAACTGTTGCACCTGGCAGTTCCAACACAGGTGAGTCCCTGAGGTGGCAGATTCCTCCAGGAGTCCATCTATGACAAATTCTCCTTCAGTGTTATCCTGGGTAGGAGAACCACCTTAAGTTTTCCATGGTCTTGAAATATTGTTCATCACTCCTGTCCTGTTTTCCTCTTTCTCAGAGGCCACAACTTCTGTAGGAGAAAGAGAAACAACAAAAGCTGAAATAATCACAGGTGAGCTCTGTTAAGATATTAACTATTCCTAAAACCTTCCCAAGAGTCTGGCCTGAAATATGTAAACACTTTTTGGATTTCCCAGAATTAGCATATTAAGGAACATCTAACAGAAGTCCAATATTTGACATCGATAAATCCAGTACAGACCTTTCAACTTTTCCTCCTTATGTCTTGCACTGTGTGTCTATGGATCCTTCATCACAGCATCATGAGACCCATTCCCTGACAGTTACATAGATGATTTGGGCCCAAGTGTACACTGCTATCATTAAACCCTAAGAAAGGGACTAGTGGTGGAGGACTTTCTCTGAGAACAAATCACAGTAAACTTGCTCAGGGAATGATATGTTTCATGGGCAAAGTGTGGATTCACTCTCAAAATTAAAGTCCAGAAAAATTAATTTCCTGGTATATTAAAGAAACAAACATTTCATTTGTTTTATTATTAAGAGCCCATGCCTGTTAAATTAAGGACCGCAAATTGACCAGTTACAATCCTTTCTTATTTCAGGTACTACTGAGGGCATCTCTGGGAAAACTCTGGAAGCTGGAAGTGCCCACACAGGTCAGGCACTCTGAACGTGGCCTCTTGGCCATGTGATCTCATTGCTCAACCCCAACTTATGAGTGAGAACAAGCAGTTTTTGGTTTTCCGTTCCTGTGTTAGTTTGCTGAGGATGATGGCCTCCAGCTCCATCCATGTGCCTGCAGAAGACGTGATCTCATTCCTTTTTATTCAGCTTGACATTTTCTATCATTTTTCTCCTTTAATTATACATGATGCTTATTTTCTGTATCCCCTCACTAGAAAGCTTCATGAAGTCAACTGATTATTAAAATGCCTCAAGTTGCATGAAAGAGTTCTACTTATAAAGATAAAACCATGCTTTGTTTCTCCTGTAGGCACTTCTGTCACAGCACTATGTCTCTGGAAGGCAAACAGTTCAGGGTGATCTAAAGCCCTATTCTCCCCTTGCCTTGTAGTGAAAGGGAAACCCAGTAGCCACACATCTATCCCATGTTGGCCTGGAAAGCCCAGTGCTAAGCAGCTGTTCATTTTTTATTCTATAGAAATAGTGTCCTCAGGAATGGGCTTCTAGTGCTTTAGGGCCACATTGATGCTTCCAAGCTTAGTTGGGGAGATAATGCTCTATAGTTCCATTTTCCTTTTTTGCATTTTAGGTGACACTGGAGAATTATCTGGAACAACCATTATATCTGAAAATTCCACCACAGGTAGTTTAACAAGAAGGAAATGCCCTTATTTAATGTCACATGTCACAATATCTCTTTTAGGACTGCTATGATAAATTACACCCCCAAATCCCCTCCAGTATTCCAAATTCCCAGACTTCACTATTCTATTTTTTCCCTCAGAAGCCACAACTTCCATTGTAGGGAGTGGCACTGCTGGAACTGAACTCAAAACTGGTGACAATAAACAGCCCATACTTTGGCCTCGTAAGGATTAGTACTCTCAAGCTTTCCTTGAGAGAGTTTGTGTTTCATTTAGAGACATTGCAAGTAATTCAAAATAGGATTGCTGTTATTTATTTGTTTATTTATTTAGAAAAACTACCAATCCTAGAATTGAGCCTCCCTTCATCAAGTCCGAGGTTGGGATGGGATTTTTCCATTGTGTTACAAGTCTCACCAGCATTTGAGCTGGAAACCAGAAAGTTTTCTGTGTGAACGTGCGTGAAGTAGAAAAGAGCCTCATGGAAACAGGGTGCATTTATCCATACTTGTGTAGCCCACAATTGGCTTGCCCAACATTTTCTCCTATCTCTGAAATTTCAACACATTTAAGCCTTTCTTCCCTGCTCTTTCTATCTCACAGCAGGCATCACTGCAGCAACAGGGAAGCAAGCAGGTGAGCATTGGGAAAATGCATCTAGTTTCTCTTTTGTCAAGTTTTCAGTTGTGTTTGTACTTGAAACATTGTCTCTCTATCTCCTTTTGTTATGAACTGTTGAAAGCAGGAAATACATCTAGTTTTCCACCTTCCCTGTGCTCAGAGAAAGAGATTTCTGTTATGGCAAATAAATACAGAAATACAGCATATCCCTTTTAGATTTGGGTCCTCATTTGACTTACTCATTCACTATGATCACCTCAGTCTCTTTGTGTTCCAGGCACCTCGGAGGTAGCTCCTTCCACAACAGTTGCCCCAGGAAGTTTCAGCACAGGTGAGTCTACTCTGTGGTGGGGAATCCTTTCATGGGTGCTTGCTACAGTAACATGCCTTTCCTTTTGGTGCTTCTATGCAGGAGCTCCACCATTCCATTCCATGCCCCCTGAATCTTTTCCATTTGTGTCTTTCTTCTTCCAGCAGCCACAACTTCTCCTGGAGCAAGTGGAACGACTGGGGTTACAACAACTACAAGTAAGAACTGACAATCCACTACCTCCTTCACAGTAGGTCACATTGCTTCAATCACATGTACCATTTGTACGTCCTGTGAAGAGCATTTTTGTTGGAAAAAAAAAACACTATTCCAAATGGACAAGATTTTACCTAATACATAAATGTCAGACACTCAAATACTTTTATCTTCCTTTCCTCTGCTTCAAGGAGACTTCACCATGGAGCTAAGGCACTGAACATCAGTTGTGTGATTGGAGAGAAAAGTCTTTCTTTCCCTCAATGATATATAAAGGAAATAATAGCTATTAACATTTTTCTCATTAAATATTCTATAGAAATGGTGCATGCAAAACATATAGATTAACTCCTGGTCTAGAAACCTCTGAAAGAGCTTGCTGACACATTAACAAAACAGAGTTCCCTGAGCCCATCAAAGGTTGTTTTCTTTTCATTATGTGTAAAGAATAAAAATATTGATTCCTATCACTCTAAGTTCCAATGTGGTAGCCACTGGCAAAACTTTTACACATGAAGAGTGTAATACTTAAAGCAATAAATAATGATGATTATAGTAATGAGCATATTGATCATTTATGAATTCCTTACTATATCCACTTTTTAAATTAGAGGTTTACATATTTTATTCCAATTAAGAAATACCTAAGGTCCAATTAAGAAGATAAATTTACAAGTGCTGTATCTCTCCGTTTTAACAATTAAACTTATATATTTATGTTTTCCATTACTTTTAAAGTCAGAAGGCCTTCTTTTCTGACTTAATAGAAAGTGTCCAGACATTTTGAATTGAGTTCTCTTGTAATGACATCAGCTTAGCTCATTTCTCTTTCTTAATACTCAATTAATTTTGGTTTTCTTCAAGAGACCACAACTTCCCTAGGAGGAAGTGGCACCACTGGAGCAGAAATAAAATCAGGTAAAGACTTTGAGGTATTTATGTTTATTGTTGTATTTTGATAAATTTCTTAGAGGAAATTTTTTTAATGAGCTCTTAATTTGGCAATAAATTTAAATTACAGAAAATTATCACAGATAATGTAGAGATTCCCTTTAATATGGAGTGTGGTTTTAAATTTCCTTTGAGGCTATAGTATTTCAAGGAAACAGAGTTTCTTCTTAGATTTGAATTTGTAAACTCTTGAGTCCAAAGTTCCTAAAGTCTTTCCTTTCGGGAGACTAACCTCAGGGTTCTAGGTCTCTGGAGAGGAGAGTTGCAATAATAGCTCTGGCTTTGAAGTGGTTTTCCGTTTGAAAAGAGCATAGTCTGTATAACATTTGTGTCCTGTTCATAGATAAAAATTTAAGATTTTCTTTCTTCTTTCTTCTTCTTTCCTTCTCCTCTTCTTCTCCTAATCTCTTTTCATGTGGAGCCACCACTGGAGCACCAGGAAGTAGGACAGGTAAACTTGGGGAAAGCCTTTCATAGGACCTTCAACATTGGCATAACAATAATCATTATGATGAAGGCGGGATATTGCTTACTGCATTAACCTTGGCCTTGTAAAGAAACACAATAAATCTGAAACATGGTTGTCCTTATGTCAGTTATAAGTCCAGGAAGTGTGTTTTCTTGCTTCAAAGTCACAAATAGACCTACTGTTGGCCACATTTTTCTAGGGTCACAAAAGAGTTCCCATGTAGATCCCTCTCTCTTCTTTCCTACCTAGGCACAGCTGGAGTGCCCTCTGCTACAACAGTCTCCCCTGGGAGCTCCAACTCAGGTAAAGCACCAGGCTGGGAGGAACCACTACTTGGAAAGGGCTCCTCAGTGAGGCATCTGCCTGGGTGACCCTACCATGCTTTTCTCAGATGCTTCTAATCTTTGCCCTCACTGCTGTTCTTTGTCCCTGTTTTGCAGAGGCCACAACTTCTGTAGGAGAAAGTGGAAAAACAGGAGCTGAAACAATCACAGGTTAGCTCTGTTAAGGAACTAAGTTTACTTTGTTGTAATTTCCCATGTCTTGATAGAAATATGGCAAAAGTTTTAAAATTTTCTATATTTGGCATATTAGGCAAAAATTTAGCAGATGTTCAATATTTAATATCAATAAATATAGTTCAGATACTTCAACGTTTTTCCCTTATGTCTTTTGCCTTGGGTCTTGGAACCCTTCATCCGGGCATCATAAGGCCTATTCCCTGACAGTTATATAGGTGACTTTGGCCCAAATCTATCTTTCTGGACTGAAATTCTAAAAATAAAATTCAGTGGCAGAGGACTTTCTCTGTAAACTTTCTGAGGGAATTATAGGTTCTATGGGCAATGGATGGATCAACTCTTAAAAATGCAAACTCCAGAGAAATAAATTTTCTGTTTTATTAAAGAAAAAATTTGTTTTTTTTTTCTTTAGGAGCCTATGCCCATATCATGAGGAGCAACAAACTGACCGACTGACCTCAATCTTTTCCTTTTTCAGGTACTACTGAGGGCATCTCTGGCAGAACTCTGGAGGCTAAAAGTGCCCACACAGGTCAGGAATTCTGAACATGGCCCTTTGGGAAATACAGGTTATGGGGCCATAGAATGTCCAGGGCAGTCTTCATACTTCTAATTCCTTTCTCTCTCAGAGGCCACAACTTTCCCAGGAGGCAGCAGAACCACCCAAGCAGGACCACACCGGGGGTGAGCTTGTCAGGCTTAGGCCTGAGGCTCTCATCATGTCTCTATCTGGTAGCTACAGAGAACAAATAGTGAAGGCATTTGAAGTAGGGCCTGCATTTTATTCTGGGCAATATGGTGTCCTGTCAACCTGGTCAGTTATTCTGCTCCTGAATTTCATGACCTTGGATAGTCAGGCAGGTACTATTCTAGCTTATGGAGATATTATTTTTTCTCATAAAAGATATTTAAAAATATTTCATATATTTTTGCCTTCCAGGACTTCCTATTCCCCTACCCACATTGCTTTTTCACTCACAGCTTGATACTTTTTTCTCATTTTTCTCATACACTTACACATGATGTTGATTTCCTCTCTCCTCTCACTAGAAAGCTTCATGAAGACAACTGATTATTAAAATGCCCCAAGTTGTATCACACAGTCCTGCTTATAAGTATAAAACAATGATTTTTTCATCCTGTAGGCCCCTCTGTCACACCAGGGGGATATATTCCTAGGAGTGAAACAGGTCAGGTTGATTTAAACCCTATTTTTCTCTTGCCTCATAGTGAAAGGGAATCCCAGAAGCAACACATCCATCGCATGTTGGCCTGGAAAATGAAGTGCTAGGAAGTTGTTCATTTTCCATTCGCTATAGAAATAGAGTGTCCACAGGAGAGGGCTTCCAGTGCTTTAGGGCTACATTGATGCTTCCAAGCTTAACTGGAGACAAAAATGCTCTATTCCTTTATTTCCTTTCTTTTTTTTTTTTTTTTTTTTTTTTTTTTTTTTTGCATTTTAGTTACCACTGGAGAATTGTCTAGAACGAACTTTATATCTGGAAGTTCTAACACAGATAGCTTAACAAGAAATACCTCTTATTTTAATGTCAGATGTCATGATTTTTTTAAGGCTTCTCTGATAAAATATCTTCTTCCAGTATTCTAAATTCCCAGCCTTTTTCATTCTCCTCTTTCTTCCATCAGAGGCCACCACTTCCACAGAAGGGACTGGTACTTCTGGAACTGGATTCAAAACTGGTGAGAAGAAACAGCCCATGATTTGGCATCATAAGTATTAGGTCTCTCAAGCTTTTCTAGAGAGAGTTTGTGTTTGTGTTATTTAGGGACATTGCAAGTGATTCAAAATAGATTTGCTAGTGGAGGTACGTTTTGTTTTGAAAATCCACTAATTCTAAAGTGGATCATTACTGCTTCATTTCTGAGGATACGATGCACTTCTCCATTTATGTTCCAACTCTCGCTAGCAGTTTAGGTGGAATTCAGAAAGTTTCAGTGCATGTGTGTGAAACAGAAGAGCTCTGTGGAACCAGGACACATACATTTAACGTGTACATTTGAACAAAAATGCTGGCTCAGTATTTTCTCCTACATGTGAAGTTCAATACATTCAAACTCTTTTTCCTCCTCTTTCTATCTCACAGCAGGCATCACTGCAGCACCAGGGAAGCAAGCAGCTGAGCATTGGGAAAATGCATCTAGTTTCTCTCTTATCAAATTTTCAGTTGTGCTTGTACTTGGAAACATTGTATCTCCTTTTGTTATGAATTGCTGAAAGCAGACAAATACATCAAATTTTCCACTTGCCTCGTGCTCAGAGAAAGAGGATTCTGTTATGGCAAATAAATACAGAAATATAGCATATACCTTTTAGATTCGGGTCCTCATTTGACTTACTCGTTCACTGTGATCACCTCAGTTTCTTTGTGTTTCAGGCACCTCAGAGGTAGCTCCTGCCACAACGGTTGCCCCAGGAAGTTTCAGCACAGGTGAGTCCACTGTGTGGCGGAGAGTCCTTTCACAGGTGCTTGCTACAGTAACAGGTCTTTCCTTCTGGTGTTTCTATGCAGGAGCTCCACCATTCCATTCCATGCCCCCTGAATCTTTTCCATTTGTGTCCTTCTTCTTCCAGCAGCCACAACTTCTCCTGGAGCAAGTGGAATGACTGGGGTTACAACAACTACAAGTAAGAACTGACAATCCACTACCTCCTTCCCAGTAGGTCACCTTGCCTTGATCACATCTACCGTTTGTACTTCCTGTGTAGGGCATTTAAAAAAAAAATTTTACAAATAGGCCAGATTTTACCTAATATGTAAAAGTTGGACACTCAAATGCCTTTATCTTCCTTTCTTCTGCTTCAAGGAGACTTCACCACGGAGCTAAGGCACTGAGCATCAGTTGTTTGATTGGAGAGAAAGGTCTTTCTTTCTCTCAGTGATATATAAAGAAAATAATAGCTATTAAAATTTTTCTCATTAAATAATCTATAGAAATGGTACATGAAAAAATATAGATGAACTTCAGGTTCTAGAAACCTCTGAAAAATGCTTTTTGACACATTAAGACAACAGAGATTAACCTCACCCCATCGAAGGCCATTTTCTTTTCATTCTGTGTAAAGAGTAAAAATATTGATTCCTATACCTCTCTAATTCCAAGTTCCAGTGTAATAGCCACTGGAAAAATTCTTACACATGAAAAGTCTAATACTTAAAGCAATAAATAATGATGATAATAGTAATGAGCATGTCGATCATTTATGAGTTCCTCACTGTATCTGCTTTTTAAATTAGAGGTTTACATATCTTATTCCAATTAAGAAATACCTAAGCTTCAATTAGTAAAATAAATTTATAAATGATGTATCTTCTCATTTTCACAATTAAATTTGTATATTTATGGTTTTCATTACTTTTAAAGTCAGAAGGCCTTCTTTTCTGACTTAATAGAAAGTGTCAAGACATTTTGAATTGAGGTTATCTCATGTAATGACATCAGCTTAGCTCATACCTCTTTCTTAATACTCAATTAATTTTGGTTTCTTTTCATCTTTTAGAGACCACAACTTCCC
This sequence comes from Homo sapiens, assembly GCF_000001405.40. NCBI lineage: Eukaryota > Metazoa > Chordata > Mammalia > Primates > Hominidae > Homo > Homo sapiens. Next base: position 40,524,531 of record NC_000012.12, read on the forward strand.
TAGGAGGAAGTGGCACCACTGGAGCAAAAATAAAATTAGGTAAAGACTTTGGAGTATTTGTATTTATTGTTGTTCTTTGATCGATTTCTTAGAGAAAAATTTTTAATGAGCTTTTTATTTGAAAATAAATTTAAATTACAGAAAATTATCATAGATAATGCAGAGAATCTTTTTAATGTGGAATGTGGGTTTAAATTTCCTTTGAGGCTGTAATATTTCAAGAAAACAGAGTTTGTTCTTGGATTTGGACTTGTAAACTCTTGAGACCAAAATTTCTAAAGTCTTTCCCTTCTGAGAGACTAACCTCAGGGTTCTAGGTCTCTGGAGAGGAGACTTGCAATAATAGCTCTGGTTTTGAAAAGGTTTTCCCTTTGAAAAGGGCATAGTCTGTATGCCATTAGTGTACTGATTTCTACAATGTAGAAATCACCAAGATGTCATATTTTAGTTTAGAGATAAAAATTCAAAATTGTCTTTCTTCCTTCTTGTTCTTTCTTGTTTTCTCCTCTTCTTTCTTCTCCCTTTCTCTTTTGATTTTCAGTAGGAACCACCACTACAGCACCAGAAAGTAGGACAGGTAAACTTGGGGAAAGCCTTTCATATGACCTTCAACTTTGAACAAATCTTGGTAATAATATTCGGGGCAGGAATATTAGCCACTGCGTTACCCTTGGCTTTGCAAAAGCACACAATAAACCGGAAGCCTGTTAGTCCTCATGTCAGTTATAATTTCAGGAAGTGTGCTTTCTTGCTTCAAAGTCACAAATAGACATACTGTTGGCCACATTTTTCCAAGGGTCATGAAAGAGTTCCCATATCCATCTTTCTCTTTTCTTTTCTACCTTGGCACAGCTGGAGTGCCCTCTGGTACAAGAGTCACCCCTGGGAGCTCCAACTCAGGTAAAGCACCAGGCTGGGAGGAACCACTGCTTGGAAAGTGCTCCTCAGTGAGGTGTCTGCCTGGGTGACCCTACCGTACTCTTCTCAGATTCTTCTAATCTTTGCCCTCACTGCCATTCTTTTTCCCTGTTTTGCAGAGGCCACAACTTCTGTAGAAGAAAGCAGAATAACAAGAGCCGAAGTAATCACAGGTGAGTTCTGTTAAGGAACTAAGTGTACTTTGTTATAATTTCCCATGTCTTTCTTGAAATATGACAAAAGTTTTTGAATTTTCCATATTTGGCATATTAGGCAAAAATTTAACAGATGTTCAAAATTTAACATCAATAAATATAGGTCAGACACTTCAACATTTTCTCCTTGTTTCTTGTGCCTTGGCTCTAAAATCCCTTTATCAGGATATCATGGGGCCCATTCCCTGACAGCTATATATGTGACTTGGGCCCAAATCTATCTTTCTGTATCTAAACCCTAAAAAATGGAACTTGCTGGTAGAGGACTTTCTCTGTAAACTTGCTGAGGGAATTATAGTTTATATAATGAATAATATATGGATTAAGTATTAAAATACAAACTGCAGAGAAATAAATTTTCTGTTGTATTGAAGAAAAAAGTTTTTTTCTTTAAGAGCCTATGCTTATATCATAAGGGGCAACAAATTGACCAACTGTCCATAATCCTTTCCTATTTGGGGTACTACTGAGGGCATTTCTGGCAGAACTCTGAAAGATGGAAGTGTCCACACAGGTCAGGCATTCAGAACATGGCCCTTGGCCAATAAGCTTATGGGACCCCAGAATGTCCTGTGCAGTCTTCATACCTCCAATTCCTTTCTCTCTCAGAGGCCACAACTTTCTCAGGAGGCAGCGGGGCCACCTGAGCAGGATTACCCAGAGGTGAGCTTGGCAGACTGAGACCTGGGGCTCTCATCATCTCTCTATCAGGGTGGGTACAGGGAACAAATAATGTGAACGCATTTGAAGGAAGGGCCTGCATTTTCTCCTCAGCCATATTGTGTCATATCAACCTTGGTCAGATATTAGACTTGTAAATTTCATGACTTGGATTGTCAGCCAAGCTGTCTGCACTATTCTAGTTTATGGAGACATTATTTTTTTCTGATTAAACATATTAGAAAATATTTCATATATTCCAACCTTCCAGGACTTCCTATTCCCTTACCCAGCCTTTCCACTCACAGCTTGATACTTTTTATCATTTTTCTCATATACTTACACATGATGTTTGTTTCCTCTCTCCCCTCACTAGAAAGCTTCAGGAAGACAACTGATTATTAAAATGCCCCAAGTTGTATCACACAGTCCTACTTATAAATATAAACAATGATTTATATCTCCTGTAGGTACCTCTGTCACACCAGAGGGATATGTTCCTGGAAAGGAAACAGGTCAGGGTGATTTAAAGCCCTATTCCCCGCTTGCCTCAGTGAAAGGGTATCCCAGCAGCAACCTATCCATCGTGCGGGCCTGGAAAATGAAATGATAGGAAGGTGATCATTTTCCATTCTCTACAGAAACAGTGTCCACATGAGAGGGCTTCCAGTGCTTTAGGGCTACATTGATGCTTCCAAGTTTAATTGGAGACAAAATGCTCTGTTGCTTTATTTCCTTCCCCCCAACTTTTTTTTTTTTTTTGGCATTTTAGGTACCACTGGAGAATTTTCTGGAACGAACTTTATATCTGGAAGTTCTAACACAGGTAGCTTAACAAGAAGTAAATTTTTATTTAATGTCAGCTGTCATATTTCTTTTATGGCTTCTATGGTAAAGTAATATCCCAATATCTTCTTCCAGTATTCTAAATTCCCAGCCTTTTTCATTCTCCTCTTTCTTCCATCAGAGGCCACCACTTCCACAGAAGGGACAGGTACTTCTGGAACTGGATTCAAAATTGGTGAGAAGAAGCAACCCATGATGTGGCATCATAATTATTAGGTCTCTCAAGCTTTTCTTGAGAGAGTTTGTGTTTATTTTATTTAGGGACAATGCAAGTGATTCAAAATAGATTTGCTGGTGGAGATACTTTTTTTTAAATCTACTAATTTTAAAATGGAGCATTACTGTTCCATTTCCGAGGATGGGATGGAATTTCTCCATTTGTGTTACAACTATTGCTAGCAGTTTAGGTGGAATTCAGAAAGTTTTCAGTGTGTGTATGTGAAACAGAAAAGAGCCCCATGGACCCAGGACACATGCATTTATAAGTGTATATGTGAACAAAAATGCCGGCTCAGTATTTTCTTTCTTATGTCTCAAGTTTTAATACATTTAAACCCTTTTTTCCCTCTTCTTTCTACCTCACAGCAGGCATCACTTCTGCCCCAGGGAAACAAGCAGGTGAGCATTGGGGAAATGTATCTAGTTTTGCTTTTATCAAATTTCCAGGTGTGCCTGAAGTTGGGAACAATTTCTATGTGCTTTGGTTTGAATTGTTGAAAGCAAGCAAATACATGTAGTTCACCATCTGCCTCATGCTCAGTGAGAGATTTCTGTGGTGGCATATAAATAAATAAATATATACATACATAGAGCATATTCCTTTTAGATTCAGTTCTTCATTTGATTTACTCATTTACCATGATCACCTCAGTCTCTTTGTGTTTCAGGCACCTCTGGGGTATCTCTTGCCACAACAGTTGCCCCTGGAAGCTTCAGCACAGGTGAGTCCACAGTGTGGTGGGGAATCCTTTCATGGGTACTTGCTGTGATAATATGATTTTCCTTTTGGTGATTTTATGCAGAATAACCACCTTTCCATTTTAAGTCCCCTAAATCTTTTCTATTTATGTTCTTCCTCTCTTCGCAGCCACAACTTCTTCTGGAGCAAGTGGAATAACTAGGGCTGGCCCCAACTCAGGTAAGCACTGACGAATCACTACCTGCCTCCCAGTAGACAACGTTGCCTGAATCACATCTACTGCTTGTACTGTCTGTGAAGAGCATTTTTCTGAAGAAAGATTATCACATAGGCAAGATTTTATCTAATAACTGAAGGCCAGACACTCAAACTTTTTAACTTTCCTTTCCCCTGCTTCAAGGAAACTTCATCATGGAGCCAAGGCACTGAGAATCAGTTAGGAGATTGAAGATAAATGTTTTTCTTCCTCTCATTGATATTTAAGTGAAGTGATTGAGTTATTGACATTTTATTCATTAAATATTCCATGAGATACAAATGATGTGTAGAAAATATATATAGATTAACTCTTGTTTCTAGAAACCTCTGAACAGAGCTTGTTGACACATTGAGGAAACACATAGTTTTCTTATCCCCATCCTAGGCCATTCTCTTTCTCATTATGGGTGAAGAATTGAGATATTGATTCTTATTTCTAATTCCACAATGTAATTACTACACACTGGTAGTCACCGGCAAAATTTTTTCTCATGGAAAGTCTAATACTTAAAGCAATAAATAATGATGATAATAGTAATGAGCGTATTGATCATTTATAATTTCCTTGCTATGTACATATTGTGTACGGCCTTTACATACCTTATTACCATTGCAACTACCTAAGGTCCAAAGAAGACCCATGAGTTAAAAATGGACAATTAAACTTGGTCTTGAAGATAAACACTTTTACATGGAAAAGGGTTTCTTTTCTGACTTAGTAGTAGATGATAAGACATTTTGAATTGTATTTGTCTCATGTAGTCTCATCAGCTTAACGCACCTCTCTTCCTTCATACTCAATTAATTTTGGTTTTCTCTCCATCTTTAAGAGACCACAACTTCCCTAGGAGGAAGTGGTACCACTGGAGCAGAAATAAAATCAGGTGAAGATTTGGGTATTTTCATTATTTATTGTTACAGTTTGATTCCAAGTTCATGGATTTCTTAGGGAAAATGGGTTTTTTAAGCCTTTTATTTTGAAATATTACATTATGTAAAATGTGCAAAGATAAAGCAAAGAATCCCTTTCACGTGGAATGAAGTTTTTATATCCTTTGGGGGCTATGGTATTTCGAGGAAACCAGCAATACTTTTTGGATTCAGATTTGGAACCACTTGGCCCCAAATTTCTTAAAGGCTTTCCCTTCTCAGGGACTAACCCCTGGGTTCTAGGCCTCTTGAGAGAGTAGATATAATAGCTCTGGCTCTGAAATGGTTCTTCCTGTGAAAAGAGCTTAGTCTGTATTACATTACAGTACTGACTTCTATTCATCTTAGAAATCATTAAGATGTCTCATTTTAGTTCAAAGAAAAAATTCTAAATCTTTCTTCTTCTTTCTTCTCTGCCTCCTCCTCCTCCTTTTTCTTTTCTTCTTGTTCCCCGTCTTTCCTCTCCTCCTGTTCCTTTCTTCTCTTTCTCTACCTCATCCTCTTCCTTCTTCTTTTTCTCTCTCTTCATACTTTTTTTTTTCCTCTTCCTTCTCCTTTCTCCTCCTCCTCTTCCTCCTCCTGTCCTCTGCCTCCTCCTCTTGCTTCTTCTCCTCCGGCTTCTTTTTTTTCCTCCTCTGCTGCTTCTTTCTTCTCTTCTTCCTCTTCCTTCTCCTCTTCCTACTCCTCTTATCTTCCTCCTCCTCCTTCTCTTCTCCCTTCTTTTTTTTTTCATTAGGTAAATATGGAAAAAGCCTTTTACATGACCTTTAACCTTGGCAAAGATTGGCAGGTATATTAGCCATGGTGTTAACCTTGGCTTCGCAAAGTCAAATGGTAGACATGCAACACGTTTATCTTTCTGTCAGTTATAGGTCCAGAAGTATCTTTTGCTGTTTCAAAGTCACAGATAGACTTGTTGCCCACATTCTTCCAGGGATCGCAAAATTGTTCTCACGTTGATCTTTTTTTTTTTTTTTTTTTCCCACCTATGCACAGCTGCAGTGCCCTCTGGTACAACAGTTGCCCCTGGGAGCTCCAACTCAGGTAAAGCACCAGGCTGGGAGGAACCAGTGCTTGGGAAGGGCTCCTCAGTGAGTTGTCTGCCTGGGTGATCCTACCATACTCTTCTCAGATTCTTCAAATCTTTGTCCTCACTGTTATTCCTCTTCTCTCATTTGCAGAAGCCACAACTTCTGTAGGAGAAAATGGAAAAACAAGAGGTGAAATAATCACAGGTGAGCTCCGTTAAGGAACTAAATGTACTTTGTAATGACTTCCCATGTCTCACTTGAAATATAGCAAAATTCTTTGACTTTTGGCATATTAAAAACATATGCCATATTTTTGGCATATTAATATGGCAACATTTGGCATATTAAAAACATATTTAGTAGGTGTTCAATATTTAACATCAATAGATACAGTTCCAACACTTCAACGTTCCCTCCTTGTGTTTTGTTCCCTGTGTCAAAGCCCTCTTCATCAGGCTAGCATGGGGCCCATTCCCTTGCAGTTATAGAGGTGACTTGGCCTGAATCTATCTCCCTGTAATTAAACCCTAAAAAAAGGGTCTCAGTGGTGGAGGACTTTCTGTGTAAACTCACCGAGGGAATTATATATTCCACGAGCAATATATGGATAAACTCTTAAAACTAGAAAGCCCAGAGAAATAAATGTACTGGTATATTGAAGAAACAAAGTTATTATCTTTCCTTTAGGAGCCCATGCCCATTTCATGAGAGGCAACACATTGACCAGCTGACCACCTTTCTTATTTCAGATACTACTGAGGGCACCTCTGGCAAAGTTCTGGAACCTGGAAGTGCCCACACAGGTCAGGAATTCTGAACATGGCCCCTTAAGCAATATCAGCTTTGGGAAACCCAGAATGTCCTGTCCAGTCTTTATACCTCCAATTCCTCCCTCTCTCAGAGGCCACAACTTTCCCAGGAGGCAGTGGGACTACCCGAGCAGGACCACCAGGAGGTGAGCTTGTCAGGCTGAGGCCTGGGGCTCTCATCATCTCTCTATCTGGGTGGCTGCAGTGAACAGTAATGAACAGTAATGCAGTGAAAGTCTTTTGAGGGAGGGTCCTGCATTTTCTCTGTGGCCACAGTGTGTCATATCAACCTGGTCAGTTATTCTGCTTGTGAATTCATGACCTCAGATGTCTCAGCCAGGCTGCCTTCAGTGTCCTGGCTTATGGAAACGATTTTTTTCTGATATGAAGTATGAGCGTATATTGCATATATTCCAACTTTCCAGGACTTCCAACTCTCCTTACCCAGTTTTCCTTTCCACCCACAGTTTGAGACATTTTCTATCATTTTTCTCCTTTACTTACACATGATATTTCTCCCCTCCTACAAAACTTAGTGAAAACAACTGATTATTAAAATCCTCCAAGTTGTATCAAAGAGTCCTACTTATAAATATAGAAGTGTGCTTTGTTTCTCCCGTAGGCACCTCTGTCACACCAGGGGGCTATGCTCCTGGAAGGGAAATAGGTCAGGGTGATTTAAGCCTTATTCGTCCCTTCCCTCATAGAGAAAGGGAAACCCAGTAGCAACACACACGGCCCAGGTTGGCCTGGAAAATCAAGTACTTGGAGACTGTTCATTTTCCATTCTCTACAGGGATACAGTGTCCTCAGGAAAGGGCTTCCAGTACTTTAGGGCCACACATGGATGCTTCCAAGCTTAACTGGGGAGATAATGATCTATTGCTCCATTTCCCTTTTTTGGCATTTTAGGTACCACTGGAGAATTGTCTAGAATGACCATTATACCTGGAAGTTCTAACACAGGTAGCTTAACAGGAAGGGAATGCATCTTATTTAATGTCAGATGTCATGATATCTCTTTTAGGGATGCTATTATAAAGTAATACCCCAATATCCTCTGTAGTATTCCAATTCCCAGATGTCACTATTCTCCTACTTTTTTTCCTCAGAGGCCACAACTTCCACAAAAGGGACTGGTACTTCTGGAACTGGCTTCAAAACTGGTGAGAATAAACAGTCCATGATTTGGGGTCATCCAGATTAGGAATCAAGCTTCTCTTAAGAGTATTTACATTTTATTTAGGTACACTGCAAGCAATTAAAAATGAATTCTCTATAGAGTTAAATTTTTTTGGAAATCTACTAATTTTAGAATTGAGCCTCACTGCTCCAGGTCTGCGAATGGGTTGAGATGTCGCCAGTGGTGTTACACCTATCACCAGAATTGGAGCTGGAATTCAGAATGTTTTCCTTGTGTGTGTGTGTGTGAGTGTGTGTATGTGTGTGAAATAGAAAAAAATTCCATGGAACCAGGATGCATGCATGCATATCTGTGTATCTGTATATGGATAAAACTTTGCTTTAATATTTTGTGCTACATCTAGTTTGCAGCACACTTAAACCTTATTTCCCCTTCTTTCTATCTCACAGCAGGCATCACTGTGCCAGGGTAGCAAGTTTGTCAACATTAGGGAAATGCATCTAGTTTCCCTTCTATTAAATTTCCAGGAGAAGCACCTGAAGTTGCAAACAGTATTTCTCTATTTGCTTTGGTTATGAATTGTTGAATGCAAGCAAATACATCTAGTTCACCCTTTGCCACAACCTCAAAAAAAGAGATTTCAGTTATGGCAAATAAATACATTATATCCCTTTAAGAGTCAGGTCTTCACTTGACTTACTGAGTCATAATGGTCAGTAAGTCAAATGAAGACCTGACCCTAAAAGAGATATAATGTGTTTCAGGCACCTCTTGGGTGGCGCCTGGCACAACAGTTTCCCCTGGAAGTTTCAGCACAGGTGAGTCCACAGTTTCTTTACTGATTCCACAGGAATCGTTTCTTGAGTGCTTGCTACAATAATGTCTTTCCTTTGGTGCTTCTATGCAGAAGCACCACCATTCCATCCCTAGGCCCCTGAATCTTTTTCATTTATGTCCCTCCTCTCTCAATAGCCACAATTTCCCCTGGAGCAAGTAGAACGACTGGGGCTGCACCTGCCGCAGGTAAGCACTGATGAACTACTAACTGCTTCCCAGTAGACAAGGTTATCTGAATCACATTTACTGTTTGTACCTCCTGTGAAGAGCATTTTCTGAACAAAGATTACTGGTTAGGCAGGATTTTACCTAATAACCAAACGTCAGATCCTCAAACTCTTTTATCTTCGTTTCCTCTGCTTCAAGGAGACTTCAGCATGGAGCTAAGGCACTGAGAATCAGTTGGGTGATTGGAAAGAAATGTCTTTCTCTCACTGATATCTAAAGGAAGTAATTGAGTTATTGGAATGGCTGTCATTAAATATTCTATGAGATATAAATGGTGTGAAGAACATATATAAATTAACTCTTGATTCTAGAACCTCTGAAAAGAGCCTCTTGACACACTGAGAAAACATAGCTCCCTTACCCCATTGTAGGCCATTTTCTTCTCATTATGGCTAAAGATTGAGATATTGATTCCCATGGTTCTCTAATACCAAGTTCATTTTTGGTAGCCACTGGCAAAATTCTTGCACATGAAAATTATAATATTTAAAGCAATAAATAATGATGATGACAGTAGTGAGCATATCTATCATTTATGAGTTCCTTACTATATACGCTTTTTTATTAAGAATTCTACATATCTTATTCCAATTAAGAAATAACTGAGGTCCAACTAAGAACCATGTGAGTTAAAATGTTTTATCTCCCCATTTAAAAAATTAAATGTGTGTATTAAAGGTTTCCATCACTTTTACAGTCAGGAGGTCTTCTTTTCTGACTTAGTAGATGACAAGACATTTTGCATTGGGCTTATCTCATGTATTGACATCCACTTGCCCATCCCTCTTCCTTAATATTCAATTAATTTTAGTTTTCTTTTCATCTTTAAGAAACCACAACTTCCCTAGAAGGAGGTGGCACCACTGGAGCAGAAATAAAATCAGGTAAAGACTTTGGGGTATTTACATTTATTGTTGTATTTTGATAGATTTTGTAGAGAAAAACTTTTTTTAATGAGCTTTAAATTTTGAAATAATTTTAAGTTACAGAAAATTTGCATTGATAATGCAAAAATCACTTTAATATGGAATGTGGTTTTAAATTTCCTTTAAAGCTATAATATTTTAAGGGAAACAGAGATTCTCCTTGGATTTGGATTTGTAAATATGTGGGCCCAAATTTCCTAAAGGCTTTGCCTTTTCAGATACTAACCTCAGGGGTCTAGGACTCTGCAGAGAAGGGTTACAATAATAGCTCTGGCTCTGAAATGGTTTTCCCTTTGAAAAGAGCATGGTCTATATAACATTAGTGTACTAGCTTCAAATCAGTGTAGAAATCATTAAGATGCCTATATTTTAGTTCAGAGATAAAAATTCAAAAATATTTTTTCTTCCTTCTTTCTCTTTCTTTCCTCCTTCTTCTCCTTCTCTTTTTCTTTTCATTAGGAGCCACCTCCGGAGTACCGGGAAGTAAGACAGGTAAACTTGGGGAAAGCCTTTCAAATGACCTTCAACATTGGCAAAAAAAAAAAAAAAAAAAAATTCAGGACAAGCGTATTAGCCATTGTGTTAACCTCAGCCTTACCAAGGAACACGATACACATGGAAAATGCCTCTCCTGTCAGTTATAGGACCAGGAAGCGTCTTTTCCTGCTTTGAAGTCACAGATGGACATGCTGTCAGCCGCATTCTTTCAAGGGTCATAAAAGGGTCTCTATGTTGATCTTTCTCTTTTCTTTCCTATCTAGGCACAGCTGGAGTGCCCTCTGCTACAACAATTGCCCCTGGGAGCTCCAACTCAGGTAAAACACCAGGGTGGGAGGAACCAGTGCTTGGAAAGGGCTCTTCAGTGAGGTGTCTGCCTGGGTGATCCTACCATGCTTTTCTCAGATTCTTCAAATCTTTGCCCTCACTGCTATTCTTTTTCCCTCTTTTACAGAGGCCACGACTTCTTTAGGAGAAAGTGGAAAAACAAGAGTTGAAACAATCACAGGTGAGCTCAGTTAAGGAACTAAGTGTACATTGATATGATTTTCCATGTCTTGCTAGAATAAGGCAAAAATCTGAATTTCCCATATTTGGCATATTAGAAAAACATTTAGCAGATGATCAATATTTAACATCAATAAATATAGTTCAGACACTTCAACATTTCCTCCTTATGTCTTGTGCTTTGGGTCTAAGGACCCTTCATCAGGGCATCATGGAGCCCATTCTCCGACAGTTATAGAGGTGACGTGGGCCCAAATCTATCTATCTGTAACAATACCCTAAATAAGGAACTCTGTGGTAGAGGACTTTCTCTATAAACTTGCCAAAGGAACTATATGTTCCAAGGGCAATATATGGATTAACTCTTAAAAAAAAAACCAGAAACTCTAGAGAAATAAATTTTCTGGTGTGTTTAATAAAAATGTTTTTTTTTTTTCTATAGGAGTCTATAACCATTTCATTAATGACAACAGATTGACCAACTAATCACAATCCTCTCTTATTTCAGGTACTACTGAGGGTAAAACTCTGGCAGCTGGAAGTGCCCACACAGGTCAGGAATTCTCAACATGGCCTTTGGGCAATACAGCTTATGGGGCCCCAGAATGTGCTGTGCAGTCTTCATACATCTAATTCCTTTCTTTGTCAGAGGCCACAACTTTCTCAGGAGGCAGCGGGAGCACCCGAGCAGGACCACTGGGTGGTGAGCTTGTTAGGCTGAGGCCTGAGGCTCTCATCATCTCTCTGTCTGGGTGGATACAGGGAATAAATAATGTGAAGGCTTTTGAGGGAGGGGGAATTTTCTCTGGGGCCATATTGTGTCCTATATCTGGTCAGTTATTCTGCTTGTGATTCCATGAGCTCAGATGGCTCAGCTAGGCTGTCTTCAGTACCCTGGCTTATGGAGACATTTTTTTCTGATATGAGGCTTGAGAGTCTATTCCACATATCCCATCCTTCCAGAACGTCCAGCCGTCCTTCACCCAATTTACCTTTCCACCCACAGCTGGACACTTTCTATCATTTTTCTCATTTAGCTATACATGATGTTTATTTCTTCTCTCCCCTCACTAGAAAGCTTCATGAAGTCAACTGATTATTTAAATGCCCCTATAGCTGTATCAAAAATCCTGCTTATAAGGTTAAAACCTTAAGCAGGATTTCTCCTGTATTTCTCCTGTAGGCGCTTCTGGTACATCAGGAGGATATGTCCCTGGAAGGGAAACAGGTCAGCGTGATTTAAACCCTATTCTACTTTGCCTTATAGTAAAAGGGAAACCCAGCAGCAGCACATCCATCTCAGGTTGGCCTGGAAAAGGAAGTGCTAGAAGTTGTTCATTTTCCATTCGCTACAGAGACAGAGTATCCTCAGGAAAGGGCTTCCAGTGCTTTAGGGCTACATTGATGCTTCCAAGCATAAATGGGGAGAAAATGCTCTGTTGCTGCATTTATCCCTTTTGCTTTTTAGGTACCACTGGAGAATCTTCTGGAACAACCATTATATCTGGAAGTTCTAACACACATAGCTTAACAGGAATAAAGTGCCTCATATTTAATGTCAGATGTCATGATATCTCTTTTAGGGCTGCTATGATAAAATAACACCCCAGTATCTCCTCTCAGTATTCCAAATTCACAGACTTCCCTACTGTATTTGTTCCCTCAGAGCCCACAACTTCCATTGAAGAAACTGGAACTTCCAGAACTATATTCAAAACTGGTGAGACTAAAAAGCCCATAATTTGGGGTCATCTAGATTAGGTCTTTTAACTTTCCTTGAGGGTGTTTGTGGTTTTTATAAAGACACTGCAAGTGATTCAATACAGGTTTGTTATTAGGGAGAAATCTTTTTTGAAAGGCTACTTATTCTAAAATTGAGTCTCCCTTCATTGAGGCTGAGGATGGGATGGGATTTTCCCATTTTGTTACTAGTATCACTAGCATTTGAGCTGGAAGCCAGATAGTTTTCTGTGTGTACATGTGTGAATGTGTGTGAGGTAGGAAAGTGCCCCTTGGAACCAGGGTGCATGCATGCATATGTGTATATGTATCTTACGATTGGCTTCCCCAATATTTTCTCCAACATCTGAAGTTTCAACACATTTAAATCTTTCTTCGCTCTTCTTATGTACCTCACAGTAGGCATCACTTCAGCCCCAGGGAGGCAAGCAGGTGAGCATCAAGAAAATGCATCTAGTTTCCCTTTTATCAAATTTGTAGTTGTGCTTGAAGTTGGAAACATTTTCTATGTGCTTTGGTTATGAATTTTTGAAAGCAGGCAAATATATATAGTTCACCATCAGCCTCATGCTCAGAGAGAGATGTATGTTGTAGGAAATAAATAAATACATAAATACAGCATATCCCTTTAAGATTTGGGTCCCCTCAATCCCTTTGTGTTTCAGGCACCTCTGTGGTGGCGCCTAGCACAACAGTTGCCCCTGGAAGTTTCAGCACAGGTGAATCCACTGTGTGGCGGGGAATCCTTTTATGGGTGCTTGCTATAATATCTTCCCATTGAGTGTTTCAATGCAGAAGCATCACCATTCCATTCCATCCCCCCTGAGTCTTTTCCATTCATGTCCTTCCTCTGCCAGCAGCCACAACTTCTCCTGGAGCAAGTGGAATGACTGGGGTTAGAACCACTTCAAGTAAGCACTGACAATCCACTACCTCCTTCCCAGTAGACAACATTGCCTCAATCACATGTAGTATTTGTATTTCCTGTAAAGAGTATTTTTTGAACATAGATTACCAGATAGGCAGGATATTACCTAAATGACTAAAGGCCCGACACTCAAATTCCTTTGTTTTTCTTTCTTCTGTTCCAAGGAGACTTCACCATGAAGCTAAGGCACTGAGAATCAGTTGTGTGATTGGAGAGAAATGGTTTTATTTCTCTCATTGATATCTAAAGGAAATAATTGAGTTATTGAAAGTTTTGTCATTTAAATTTTCTGTGAGACAGAAATGGTGCATGGAAAACATATATACGTTAAATCCTGGTTCTAGAAACCTCTGAAAAGAACTTCTTGGCACTTTGAGAAAACACATAGTTCCCACACCTTCATGATATGACATGTTCATTCTCATTATGGGTAAAGAATTCAGATTTTGATTCCTATCACTTTTTAATTCCAAGTTTCAATGTGGTAGCCTCTGGCAAAATGCTCGCATGTGAAAAATCTAATAATAAATAAGGATGATAATAGTAATAAGCATATCAATCATTTATGATTAATTTCAGTTCTGACTGTATACCTTTTGAAATTAAGTTTAAATAAATTATTCCAATGAAGAAACACTTAAATTTCAATTAAGGACAATATGATTTGAAAATATTTTATCTCACCATTTAACAATTAAACTTGGATATTGAAGGTTTCCATCATGTTTACAGTCAGAAGGATTTCTCTTCTGACTTAACAGTAGGTGACAAGACATTTTGAATTAGGCTTATTGCACATCTTGACATCCACTTAGCTCATCCCTCCTCCTTAATACTCAATTAATTTTGGTTTTCTTTCCATCTTTAAGAGACTACAACTTCCCTAGGTGGAACTGGCACCACTAGAACTGAAATAAAATCAGGTAAATATTTTGCAGTATTCATTATTTATTGTTGTATTTTGATAGATTTCTTACAGGAAACATTTTTTAACAATAACTTTTTAAGTTACAGAAAATTTGCATTGATTATGCAAAGAATCGCTTTAATGTGGAGTGTACTTTTAAATTTCTTTTAAGGCTGTAATATTTCAGGGAAAACAGAGTTTCTTCTTAGATTTGGATTTGTAAACATGTGGGCCCAAATTTCCTGAAGGCTTTCCCTTCCTAGAGACTAACTTCAGGGTTCTAGGCCTCTGGAGAGGAGAGCTGTAGTAGCTACAGCTCTGAAATGATTTCCTTTTGAGAAGAGCGTAGTCTGCATATCATCATAGTGTTGACTTGTATTCAGCACAGAACCCATTAGGTTGTCATGTTTTACTCCAGAGATAAAAATTCAAAATTTTCTTTTTTCTTCTTTCTCTGTTCTTTATTTCTTTTCTTTCTTTCTTTCTTTCTTTCTTTCCTTCTTTCTTTCTTTCTCTTTCTTTCTTTCTTTCTTTCTTTCTTTCTTTCTTTCTTTCTCTCTCTCTCTCTCTCTCTCTCTCTTTCTTTCTTTCTTTCTTTCTTTCTTTCTTTCTTTCTTTCTTTCTTTCTTTCTTTCTTTCTTTCTTTCTTTCTTTCTTTCTTTCTCATCCTTCTTCTTCTTCTTTTTCTTTTTATTAGGAGCCACCACTGGAGCACCAGGAATTAAGACAGGTAGATTTCAGAAATGCCTTTTTTTATTATTATACTTTAAGTTCTAGGGTACATGTGCACAAAGTGCAGGTTTGTTACATATGTATACATGTGCCATGTTGGTGTGCTGCACCCATTAACTCGTCATTTACATTAGGTATATCTCCTAATGCTATCCCTTCCCCCTCCTCCCACCCAATGACAGGCCCCAGTGTATGAAGTTCCCCACCCTGTGTCCAAGTGTTCTCATTGTTCTATTCCCACCTATGAGTGAGAACATGTTTGGTTTTCTGTCCTTGCGATAGTTTGCTCAGAATGATGGTTTCCAACTTCATCCATGTCCCTACAAAGGACATGAACTCATCCTTTTTTATGGCTGCATAGTATTCCATGGTATATATGTGCCACATTTTCTTAATGCAGTCTATCATTGATGGACATTTGGGTTGGTTCCAACTCTTTGCTATTGTGAATAGTGTCACAGTAAACAT
The DNA here is from genome assembly GCF_000001405.40 of Homo sapiens. Classification (NCBI taxonomy): domain Eukaryota; kingdom Metazoa; phylum Chordata; class Mammalia; order Primates; family Hominidae; genus Homo; species Homo sapiens. Next base: position 40,540,032 of record NC_000012.12, read on the forward strand.
ACATGTGCATGTGTTTTTATAACAGCATGATTTATAATCCTTTGGGTATATACCCAGTAATGAGATGGCTGGGTCAAATGGTATTTCTAGTTCTAGATCCTTGAGGAATCGCCACACTGTCTTCCACAATGGTTGAACTAGTTTACAGTCCCACCAACAGTGTAAAAGTGTTCCTATTTCTCCACATCCTCTCCAGCACCTGTTGTTTCCTGACTTGATCATTAAAAAATGATCGCCATTCTAACTGGTGCGAGATGGTATCTCATCGTGGTTTTGATTTGCATTTCTCTGATGGCCAGTGATGGCGAGCATTTTTTCATGTGTCTGTTGGCTGCATAAATGTCTTCTTTTGAGAAGTGTCTGTTCATATCCTTCGCCCACTTTTTGATAGGGTTGTTTGATTTTTTCTTGTAAATTTGTTTAAGTTCTTTGTAGATTCTGGATATTAGCCCTTTGTCAGATGGGTAGATTGTAAAATTTTTCTCCCATTCTGTAGGTTGCCTGTTCACTCTGATGGTAGTTTCTTTTGCTGTGCAGAAGCTCTTTAGTTTAATTAGATCCTATTTGTCAATTTTGGCTTCTGTTGCCTTTGCTTTTGGTGTTTTAGTCATGAAGTCCTTGTCCATGCCTATGTCCTGAATGGTATTGCCTAGGTTTTCTTCTAGGGTTTTTATGGTTTTAGGTCTAACATTTAAGTCTGTAATCCATGTTGAATCAATTTTTGTATAAGGTGTAAGGAAGGGATCCAGTTTCAGCTTTCCACATATGGCTAGCCAGTTTTCCAGCACCATTTATTAAATAGGGAATTCTTTCCCCATTTCTTGTTTTTGTCAGGTTTGTCAAAGATCAGATGATTGTAGATGTGTGGTATTATTTCTGAGGGCTCTGTTCTGTTCCCTTGGTCTATGTCTCTGTTTTGGTACCAGTACCATGCTATTTTGGTTACTGTAGCCTTGTAGTATAGTTTGAAGTCAGGTAGCAAGATGCCTTCAGCTTTGTTCTTTTGGCTTAGGATTGACTTGGTGATGCGGGCTCTTTTTGGGTTCCATATGAATTTTAAAGTAGTTTTTTCCAGTTCTGTGAAGAAAGTCATTGGTAGCTTGATGGGGATGGCATTGAATCTATAAATTACCTTGGGCAGTATGGCCATTTTCACGATATTGATTCTTCCTATCTATGAGCATGAAATGTTCTTCCATTTGTTTGTGACTTCTTTTATTTTGTTGAGCAGTGGTTTGTAGTTCTCCTTGAAGAGGTCCTTCACATCCCTTGTAAGTTGGATTTCTAGGTATTTTATTCTCTTTGAAGCAATTGTGAATGGAAGTTCACTCATGATTTGGCTCTCTATTTGTCTGTTACTGGTGTCTACCCTTGTGACATAGTGAAAGAGAAACCCACTAGCAACACATTCATCTCTGGTTGGCCTGGAAAATGAAGTACTAGGAAGTTGTTCATTTTCTGTTCTTTATAGAAATAGAATGTTCTCAGGAAAGGGCTTCAATGCTTTAGGGTTGCCATGTTGATCCTTCCAAGCTTAAATGGGGAGACAATGCTCTATTATTCCATTTCTGTTTTTTTCCATTTCAGATATCATGGGAGAATCTTCTAGAACGACCATTCTATCTGGAAGTTCTAACACAGGTAGCCTAACAAGAAGGAAATGTGTCTTACTTAATGTCAAATGTCATGCTATGTCTTTTAGGGCTGCTATGATAAAGTCCCACCTCAGTATCCTCTCCCAGTATTCCAAATTCACAGACTTCACCACTCTTTCTTCCCTCAGAGGCCACAAATTCCATTGAAGAGACTGGTACTTCTGGAACTGGATTCAAAACTGGTGAGAAGAAACAGCCCCTGATTTAGCATCATAAGTATTAGGTCTCTTAAACTTTGCTTGAGAGAGTTTGTGTTTTATTTAGGGATGCTGCAAGTGATTCAAGATAGTTTTGCTGGTGGAGATACAATTTTTTTAATCTAATAATTCCGGAATGGATACTTACAGATTTATGTCTGAGGACGGAATGGAATATTTCCATTTGTATTACAACTGTCACTAGCATTTGAGGTGGAATTCAGAAAGTTTTCCATGGGAGTGTGTGAAATACAAAAGAGCACCATGGACCCAGGACGCATGCATTTATATGTGTGTGCATGCTTACACATTTTCTTGCTTTTTATTTTCTCCTACATCTGATGGTTTCAGCACATTTAAAACATTTCCCCCCTCCTTTCTATCTCACAGCAGGCATCACTGCAGCACCAGGAAAGCAAGCAGGTGAGCATTGGGGAAATCCATCTAGTTTCCCTTTTATCAGACTCCAGAAGTGCCTGAAGCTGAGGGCACTGTCTCTCTATCTGCTCTAGTTGTAAAGTATTGACAGCAGGCAAATGCATCTAGTTCACCAACTGCCATATCCTAAGGGGAAATGACTTCTTTTATAGAAAATAAATATAGTATATCCCTTTTAGATTCAGGTCTTCATTTGACTTACTCATTCACCATGGTCACCTCAATCCCTTTGTGTTTCAGGCACCTCTGGGGTGGCACCTGGCACAACAGTTGCCCCTGGAAGTTTCAGCACAGGTGAGTCCACAATTTGGCACAGAGCCATTTCTTGGATGCTTTCTACAATCATATGTCTTCCCTTTTGCTGCTTCTATGCAAAAGCAGACCATTCCCTTTCTAAATCCCGGAATGTTTTCAATTTTGTTTTGTTTTGTTTTCACTCTCAGCAGCTACAACTTCTCCTGGAGCAAGTGGAGTGACTGGCACTGGACCCACTGCAGGTAAGCCCTGATGAAGCACGACCTGCTTCCCAGTAGACAACATTGCCTGAATCACATCTAATGCTTGTACTTCCTGTGAAGAGTATTTTCAGAATGAGCATTATGAGATTGGCAGGATTTTACCTAATTACCAAATGTGACACTCAGACTCCTTTATCTTCCTTTCCCCTGCTTCAGGGAGACTTCACCATGGAGCTAAGGCACAGAGAATCAGTTGGGTGATTGGAGAGAAATGTCTTTCTTTCTCTCATTGATATCTAAAGGAAGTAATTGAGATAATGAAATTTTTGCCATTAAATTTTCTGAGATAGAAATGGTGCATGGAAAACATATACAGATTCAACTCCTGGGTCTAGAAACGTCTAAAAAAGAGCTTGTTGGCACATTGAGAAAACACAGTTTCCTCACCTTCATCCTCAGCCATTTTCTTTCTTATTTTTATTTTGGGTAAAGAATAAAGATATTGATTCCTTTCACTCTCTAATTCCAAGTTCCAACGCGGTAGCTGCTGGCAATTTTTTTTTTTTTTTTTTTTTTTGAAGACAGGACATCCAAGCAAAGGCAATTTGTGGCCAGCCTTGAGATTGTCCCCACTCCCTCTGGCAAAATTCTTGCACATGAAAATTCTGATACTTAAATCAATGAAAATGATAACAGTAGTGAGTATATCTATTATTGATGAGTTTGTAATATAAACATTTTTATTAAGAGGTTTACATATCTTATTCCAATTAAGAACTACCTAAAGTCTAATTAAGAACTGTATGAGTTAAAATTATTTTATTCCCCATTTAAAAAAGTACACTTGTGTATTCAAGGTTTACATCACTTTTAAAGTCAGAAAAGTTTCTTTTCTAACTTAGTAGGTGGCAAGACATTCTGAATTGGACTCCTCTCATGTAATGATATCACTTAGCTCATCCTTTTTCCTTAACACTCAATTAATTTTGGTTTTCTTTCCATCTTTAAGAGACCACAACTTTCCTAGGAGGAAGTAGCACCACTGGAGCAGAAATAAAATCAGGTGAAGATTATGGGGGTTTCATTATTTACTGTTGTATTTTGATAGATTTGTTAGGGAAAACATTTTCTCAATGAACTTTTTATTTTGGAATAATTTTAAATTATAGAAAGTTTGCATATATTATGCAAAGGATCTCTTTAATGTGGAGTAGAGCTTTTCATTTCCTTTTGAAGCTGTTTCAAAGGAACCAGTATTTCCTTTCAGATTTGGAACAACTTGGGCCCAAATTTCCAAAAGGCTTTTTCTTCTCTAGGACTAGCCTCAGGGTTCAAGGCCTCTAGAGCGGAGAGTTACAGTAGCTGTGACTCTGAAAGGGTTTTTCCTTTGAAAATAACTCAGTATGTGTATCATTGCAGTACTGACTTGTATTTGGCATAGAAATCATTAAGATTTCACATTTTAGTTCAAGGGTAAAAATTCAAAATTTCCTTTCTTCTTTCTTTTTCTCCTTTTTTTTCCTCTTCCTCCTCCTCCTCCTCCTCCTCCTTCTCTCTTTTCCTTTTCATTAGGAGCCACCACTGGAGCACCAGGAAGTAAGACAGGTAAATTTGTAGAAAGCCTTTTATATGACCTTCAATCTTGGCAAAAATGATCAGCAGGCACATTAGCCACTGCATTAACCTTGGCCTTACAAAGGTACATGGTAAACATAGAAAATGCCACCTCCTGTCATTTATAGGTCCAGGAAGTATCTTTTGCTGCTCTAAGGTCCCAGGCAGACATGATGCTGGCCACATTCTTCTAAGGGTTACAAATGTGTCACTCTGTTGATCTTTTCCTTTTCTTTCCTGCCTAGGCACAGCTAAAGTGCTCTCTGGTACGACAGTTGCCTCTGGGAGCTCCAACTCAGGTAAAGCACCAGGCTGGGAGGAACCACTGTTTGGGAAGGGCTCCTCAGTGAGGTGTCTGCCTGGGTGATCCTACCACGCTTTTCTCAGATTCTTCTAATATTTGCCCTCACTGCTATTCTTTTTCCCTTTTTCTCAGAGGCTACAACTTTCTCTGGAATCACTGAAGCAGTAACAGTCCCAAGTAAAAATGGGAAGTTGGTGAAATAGTTCTAACAATTCAAATTGATTGAAATAAATACAGAGTGATCTCCTCTGAAAATCTTTGTCCAAGCCCCCAAATTTCAGAATACTAGTGTTTCACTCTAATTTTTACATTTATAGACAGCAGAATATTCTCTCTCTTTTCTCTTCTACAGGATCTATGACCACTGCACTGGGGAGCCAACTCTCCAGCAGTCAAACAGGTGAGCATGGGAAAGTATGAATAGCTGCCTGATATTTACCAGTACTCAGAGAATAAGGATACTTCTAATATGAGAGCTTAGCCTTTGCTTTTTTTAATCTTTTTTGGAATGAAGTATCCTTGTTGAAAGGTGTATGAGGAATTCTGGAATAGGCCCTCTGAGTTAACAAAAAACATAATGTTTTTCTTCTAATCCTTCTGTTAATGTAAATTAAATGACATAAGTTTCTTCCTCTTAGTGATTCCAGGTTCCAGTGGCACCATCTCTCACACAACTGTTGCACCTGGAAGTTCTGTTACAGGTAAGTGAATATTTTCAGTGGCAGTCATCACTTGTTTAATTTCAAGGAGGAATATGTAAACCCAAACATCTTTTCTGCTTCATTTCCTCTTCCAGAGGCCAAAGCTTCCTTAGAAGCCATTAGAGTCACTGTTGTGAAATCACTGAGAACTAGGGGTCTCGGAGGTTAGCATAGCCATTGAGTTGTGTCATGAGTTTGCTTCTGGATCTGAAAGATTATCATGTAGGGAGGGCAGGTGCTCCCATCCATTCCCCTGAGCTGGCTTCTGAACCAGCCTTTTCCAATGACTGGCCTTAGGACATAGATTTCTGGAGAGGGTAGTAGGAGCTGTAATTCCCTGGACTATTAACCCAGTGGATATTATAGGTATTACTACAGAATCTGCAGGAGTCAAGACTGGCCCAGAAGGTTCTGTCTCAGGTGAACAGATGACTAAAATGAACCAGCAATTGCTTTCCATCCTGAGCTTTAAATATTAAGTTGCTGAATGGTTTCCTCAGTGATTGATTACATGTCAAAACATACTCAGAATCTTTTTTCCTACTTTCAATCATTAGGAACCACCACTGGTGCATCAGATGATCAAGTCACTGGAAGTAAAACAGGTAAATATGTTAAAGAAATTATTTTGTCTCACATTTGAGGGTTTTATATTATATGTGCTAGGTAAGCCTACTGAAAGATAGGCTTCTTGAGAAAAAAGTCTCTGTTTACTGATCCCTAGTACTAAACAGGGCTCAATAAATGTTTACTGAAGGAACAAAATAATTAAAATATAGGAAAAATACATAATTCAATCCAGGAGCAAAAAGGTCAGTGGAAGAACATGCTAATAGAACAGCCACATGGACAAACTACTCTGTGTCAATGGTGCCTCCCGGAGCTGGCCAGTGCACAATAAGAGTGATATGGCCCTGGAAATACAGATTTATTTTATACCTAGACTGCCTCCATGCAAAAGAATCTTCATGATGACACCATAGCCTTCTCATTTCAGGCACTACTGGTGTGGCCTTGAGCACAACTGTTGCACCTGGAAGTTCCAGTACAGGTAGGCTAACAAGCTGAGAAGAAAGCTCCCTTTCTGGAAATAAGATGGCAAAAATGTCTTTCACATTGCTCTTCTTCTATAAGAGCATCACAGTGTATTTCCCCGTCCTTCTAAGTCCTCATCCTTTACGCATTGCTTCTCTTTTTCTTCCAGAAGCCACAACTTCCACAGGAGTCCATAGAACCACTGTAGTGGGACAGAAGACAGGTGAGAATTAATGGTGTGTGCGTGTGTGTGTGTGCATGCATGTATGACTTTTGAGTGATAATAAATTACAATTATAATTTGCTTCTTAATAGGATAGTTTTTCGAGGAGGAGTTTTTGAGGAACTCTCATCTAAGATCAGCATTTTGTTACTTGATTTTGAATTAACTTGGGCAGATTTCCTTCTATTTCCAGGGCCAAGCCTCACATATATGTCTCTGCAAATGAGAGTGAAAGTGATAATTGTATGAAAAGTTTTCTTTATACATTTTAGTTATCTCCATTTTAGGTATATCAGAAAAATTAATTACTGGCTCAGAGGGTTCTATTTCAGGTCAACAGAAGGCCAAAATGCACACAGATTTGCCTCGAACGATATATTTTTCCTTGAGCACAATAATGACTGAAATGTACAGTAGTTATCTCTATAACTCTAGTCTACCTTTATATTAAAAAGTTTTTCTATTTTTATCCTTTTAGGAGCTACCACTAGAGGGTCAGCAAAGCAAGGAACTAGAAGCACAATAGGTAAATATGGCAGGAAAGAAAGCCACTTGTCTTACTGCCATTGAATTCCAGAAAAATTGAGTCCTCTGTTGAGGAATTTGCATCTTTATTTGATTTGGGAATAAAACTATGCATGAGAAAACACAGGCCGGGCATGGTGGCTCACACCTGTAATTCCAGCACTTTGGGAGGCTGAGGTGGGTGAATCACCTGAGGTCAGGAGTTTGAGACCAGTCTGACCAACGTGGTGAAACCTCTTCTCTACTAAAAATACAAAAATTAGCCAGCTGTGGTGGCATAAACCTGTAATTCCAGCTATTCAGGAGGCTGAGGCAGGAGGATCACTTGAACCTGGATGGAGGTTGCAGTGAGAGATAGCACCATTGCACTCCAGCCTGGGTGACAGAGAGAGACTAGGGTAGCTTCTGGCAACACATCTAAACCTGGGAGTTCAAATACAGGTGAGCCAGCCAGCTGGTGAGAGTCCTCCACAGAACAGTTTAGTAGTAAAGTGCCTCCCATGGCTCTGTTATTAAGAATAGTGCATCCTTCACTTTCCTCACAATGCTAATTCCTCTCACCTCATATTTTCCTACCTTTCCTCTCTAAGAAGCTACGACGTCCTTTAGAGGCACTGGGACCACAGGAAGTGGAATGAATACAGGTGAGCACACAAGCTTCCTAACCTGCTCACTTTTCACTTAAAATAAAAGCAATAGTAGCTAACACTTTCTAGCATGAACTATGTTCCAGGCACTACTACACATTTTTCTCATTATTATTTCTTTTATCCCTCATCCCAAATTGTGAGGTAAGCACTATTGTTCTCACAGACTTTCCAGGTGAGAAAACCTATGGCTCGAAGATATTCACTAACTGAATGAAGATCACGCAGCGATTAAACAACAGATTTCAACTCAGGCGCTCTGGCTTCAAAATCCATCCTCTTAACCATGATACTAAATCACCACTACACTATACCACTACACTCTTTTGTCATGCCTCAACTCATCTAGAACACTACAATTTCTACAACACCAATATTTTGCCCAAATGAAAATTCAACAGGTAATCAGTCCTGCTTTGTTCCTTCTTCTAGGGGTATCAGGTAGCCAAGTCACTAGCATTCAACTAGGTAAATAAAGTACCTTTGTTTTACTGACATTGAGCCCAGAAAAAGAGACGTTCTCATTGAGACTCCACCACCACCTCACATTGCACCCTTCCCCCACCAAGTTTATAGTGAGAATGGAGCATTACATTTGCAAACACAGAAACTAACTTTGGAACAAGCTATCCCTGAAAATGTTCTTTTTGCATAATGAAGAATTCTGAGGTTGCCTCATTCTATTATAGAATGTGCTTTTATTATAAGAATAAAATTGATATAGTAGTACCCTTCCATTTTGTTTTTAGGTACTACTGGAGTGGTCTCTGGCAACACCATCTCACCTAGCAGTTTCAACACAGGTGAGTCAATGAGGAAACAGATGCTGTTGGTTTTTTTTTTTTTTTGGTTGGGGGCTAACTGCAGCAATGGTACATTATATCTTTTGATGATTTTCTGTTAGCCCTCACTACTTTCTTCCTTTTTATTCTCAGAAGATATAACTTCCATGGAAGGAAGCATAACCAATGAAAGTGGAATTGGCAAATATATATATATATATATATATATATATACCCACACACATAAATATATATGCATATATTAACATACATGAGAAAAAATGAGAAATGAGAAAAAAATAACAAATATATATATATATAATTTTTTTCTTGAGACAGTCTCACTCTGTTGCCGAGGCTGGAGTGCAGTGGTGTGATCTCAGCCTACTGCAAATTCCACCTCCAGGGTTCAAGCAATTCTCTTACCTCAGCCACCTAAGTAGCTGGGATTACAGGTGTGCACCACCACACCCAGCTATTTTTTTTTTTTTTTTGTATTTTTAGTAGAGATGGGGTTTCACTGTGTTGGCCAAGCTGGTCTTGAACTCCGGGCCTCAAGTGATCTGCCTGCTTTGGCCTCCCAATGTTCTGGGATAACAGGCGTGAGCCACTGCGCCTGGCCAAAGAATTGGCAACTCCTGAGTTCCCACAAATCTACATTGGGCTTTTGCCTTTTCATAGAGATATTTGTTAAACAAAGCTTGTATTTATAAAAATTGTATCATTTATCCTGGGGCCAAACCTTATACTAAAATTATAGAAAAAGAGGCTCAGAGTCCAGAAATATTCCCCTTTTAACATTCAAGCTATTACCCCAGTACCTACAGAGGCAATATAAATCCATATAGTTCTATTTAAGGCAGCAGAGATGATAGAAGTTACTCTGGAGGTTTAGATGTGTCATACTTTGGAATTCGGATATTATAAGTTTATTGAATGCAGTTGAATACCTTTACACAAATATTGTTTTCATTTCTTTTCATTAGAAGCTACCAGTGGCACATCTGAGAGGCCAAACCCTGGAAGTGAAATAGGTAAGCGTGAAAAAGACCCCAAAACCTCTGACATTTAACTCTAAGGAGCCAAATAATCAAGGCTGGACTACAACCTAATGTGTTTACTGTGAGTCTGAATTTAAAAATGGAGAGCACACTTCATGGTGACAGGATAGCACAAGAAAGATCTTTTGCTGCTTTCAAGTCACAGACAGTCATTGTTGTCCATGCTCTTCTTGGGATGGTAAATGCATCACAATTTGGGTTCTCTTTCTCTCTCCCTGCTTTAGGCACCACTGGCATAGTCTCTGGCACAACAGTTGCACCTGGAAGTTCCAACACAGGTAACCTAATAGGGAATATAAGGGGCTTCAGTCATGGAATATGACTGATTCCCTCCCCGCAAACATACACACTCCCTGCCATACCCTGGGAATACCACTGGATTTTCTCAGTTATAGGATTCTTCTGAATTTACTTCTTTTCTCCCTTCACTTAGAAGCCACAACTTCTTTGGGCAATGGTGGAACCACTGAGGCTGGAAGTAAAATAGGTGGGCACTGGCAATCAAATGATTATTTTTTCTTTTCATCTTAAAGTAAATCAAATTGGCTATAATGAACTTAGTGGACATTTTCCTCAATCATTGAGTACAAATTACCAGGATATAAATAGTTTACTCCTTGTGAATTGCAGGTTACGTATTTGCAATACAATGACATCATGAGACCATGCATTATGTATCACTTAAAGCAAGAAAGTTCCTGATAAACCTTTTAGTTCACTTGAGAAACCTATGATTTTTTTTTCTAAACCAAATCCTAATTTTAGATGAAAAGGAATTCATAAATTGATTATCTCCTCTTGTGATTGCAGTTACCACTGGGATAACTACTGGCACGACCATTGTACCTGGGAGTTTCAACACAAGTGAGTCATGAAAGAGTTGGAGAAACCTGCCTACATGAACTTCTGGGGACCTGATGGCTCCCATAGGGATATTACATAAAGTAAGACTGTTACACATTTTTCCAAATGTCTGCATTCTATATCACTTTCTCCTATTTCTCCTCAGAGGCTACCACTTCTACAGACGTTGGAGTTGCCACTGGAGTTGGAATGGCAACTGGTGAGTGGTTTGTTTTGGGTTCTCAACAGTTCTTTGCTTAAGTTTGTGGTAGTGATGAATGAATGGAAAGATGAGCTGAAATAGGATTTTGTATTTCACTTGAAGAGACATGTCAGGTAAATCAAGATTGGGCCCTTGCTCTTCAGATTGATTTTCTCCATACACTAGTCTTTTTTTTATTTTTTTAATTTTTTCAACTTTTATTTTAGATGTGGGGGTGGGGGTACATGTGTAGGTTTGTTACATGTCCTGAATGTATTGCATGATGCTTAGGTTTGGAGTATGAATGATCCTGTCACCCAGGTACTGAGCAGAGTACCCAACAGTCAATTTTTCAATGCCCCCTTCTTCCTCCCCTTTATAGTGGTCCCCAGTGTCTATTGTTGCTATCCATATATCCATGAGTATCCAGTGTTTAGCTCCCACTTATAAGTAAGAACATACAGTATTTGTTTTTCTGTTCCTGCATTAATTCACTTAGGATAATGGCCTCCAGCTGCATCTCCAGCTCCATCCGTGTTGCTGCAAAGGACATAATTTTGTTCTTTCTTATGGTTGTATAATATTCCATGGTGTGTATATACTACATTTTAAAAATCCAGTCCATCATTGATGGGCATCTAGGTTGATTCCATGTCTTTGCTATTGCGAGTAATGCTGCGATGAAAATGCAAATGCATGTGTCTTTTTGGTAGAAAAATTTGTTTTCTTTTGGATAGGTACCCACTAATGGGATTGTTGGGTCAGACGGTGGGGTTCTGTTTTAAGTTCTTTGGGAAATCTCCAGACTGCTTTCCATAGTGTCTGGATTAATTTACATCCACATCAACAATGAATAAACATTCCCTTTTCTCTGCAGCCTTACCAGCATCTGTTTTTTGACTTTTTCATAACAGCCAGTCTGACTGGTATGAGATGGTATTTCATTGTGGTTTTGATTTGCACTTCTCTAATGATTAGTAATGTTGAGAAATTTTTCATATGCTTGTTGGCTATGTGTATGCCTTCTTATGAAAAATAACTCTTCATGTCCTTTGCCCACTTTTTAATAGGGTTGTTTTTTGCTGGCTAATTTGTTTACATTCCTTGTAGATTCTGGATATTAGATCTTTGTCAGGTGCATAGTTTGCAAGTATTTTCTTCCATTCTGTAGGTTGTCTGTTAACCTGTTGATAGTTTCTTTTGCTGTGCAGAAGTTCTTTAGTTGAATTAGGTTCCATTTGTCAAATTTTGTTTTTGTTGCAATTGTTTTTCGCATCTTTGTCATGAAATCTTTGCCAGGGCCTGTATCCAAAATGATATTTCCTAGGTTATATTCCAGGGTTTTCATAATTTTAGGTTTTGCATAAAAGCCTTTAATCTGTCTTGAGTTGATTTTTGTATCTGATGTAAGGAAAGGGGTTCAGCTTCAATCTCCTGCATGACTAGCCAGTTATGCCAGCACCATTTATTGAACAGGGAGTCATTTCCTCATTGCTTGTTTTTGTTGGCTTTGTCGAAGATCTAATGGTTGTAGTTGTAGGTGTATAGCATAATATCTGGGCTCTCTATTCTGTTCCATTGGTTTGTGTGTCTGTTTTTGTACCAGTACCATGCTGTTTTGGTTACTGTAGCATTGTAATATAGTTCGAAGTTGGGTAATGTTATACCTCTAGTTTTGTTGTTTTTGCTTAGGATTGCCTTGGTTATTCAAGCTGTTTTTTGGTTCCATATGAATTTTTAAAAACCTTTTTTTTTCTAATTTTGTGAAGAATGTCATTGGTAGATTTAAATAGCATTGAATCTGTAAATTGCTTTGGGCAGTATGGCCATTTTAATAATATTAATTCTTCCTATCCATGAACATAAAATCTTTTTCTATTTGTTTGTATCATCTCTGATTTCTTTCAGCAGTGTTTTGTAATTCTTATTATTGGGCTGTTTTGCCTCCCTGGTTAGCTGTATTCCTAGGTAATTTATTTTTGTGGCTATTGTGAATAGGATTGTGTTTTTAGATGTGGCTCTCAGCCTTGATGTTGTTGATGTATAAAATGCTACTAATCTTTGGACACTTATTTTGTGTCCTGAAACTTGGCTGAAGTTATTTATCAGGTCTACGAGCTTTTGGGCAGATACTATGGGGCTTTCTAGATATAGAATCATATTTTCTGCAAACAAAGATAGTTTGACTTATTTCCTTCCTATTCTGATGCCTTTTATTTATTTCTCTGGTCTGATTGCTCTGGCTAGGACTTCTAGTACCATGGTGAATATGAGTGGGGAAAGTTGGCATCCTTGTCTTATTCCAGTTCTCAAGAGGAATGCTTCCAGCTTTTGCCAATTCAGTGTGATGTTGGCTGTGGATTTGTCATAGATGACTCATTATTTTGAGGTATGTTCCTTCAATACCTAGTGTTTTATGGGTTTTTAACATAAAGGGATATTGAATATTATCAAAAGCCTTTTCTGCATCTATTGAGATGATCGTGTGGTTTTTGTTTTTAGCTCTGTTTATGTGGTAAATCACATTTATTGGTTTGTGTATGTTGATCCAACCTTGCATCCCAGGGATAAAGCCTACTTGATCATGGTGGATTAGCTTTTTGATATGCTGCTGGATTTAGTTGGCTAGTATTTTGTTGAGAATTTTTGCATCATATCAAGGTTATTGTCTTGAAGTTTTCTTTTTTGTCGTGTCTCTATCAGGTTTTGGTATCAGAATGATGCTGGCCTCATAGAATGTGTTAGGGAGGCATGTCTCCTTCCCAATTTTTTGGAATAGTTTCATTAGGAATGGTACCATCTCTTCTTTATTCATCTGGTAGTATTCAGCTGTGAATCTGTCTGGTCCTGGGCTTTTTCTGGTTGGCAGTCTTTTGATTACTGATTCAATTTCAGAACTCTTTATTGGTCTGTCTAGGAATTTAATTTCTTCCTTGTTCAATCTTGGGAGGTTATATATTTCCAGGAATTTATTCATTTCTTTCAGGTTTTCTAGTTTGTGTATATAGATGCATTTGTGGTAGTCTCTGAGAGTTTTTTTTTGTTGTTGCTGTTTTTGTTGTTTTTTGGTAATTCTATGGAGTCAGTGGTAGTATTTCCTTTGTCATGTCCGATTGTGTTTATCTGGATCTTCTTTATTAGTCTAGATGGCCGTCTATCAATTTTAATTATTCTTTCAAGAAACAAACTCCTAGATTCATTGATATCTTGTATGGTTTTTCACATCTTAATTTTTTTTTCAGTTCAGCTGTGATTTTTGTTATTTCCTGTCTTCTGCTAGTTTTGAGGTTGGTTTGCTTTTGTTTCTCTAGTACCTGTAGGTGTGATGTTAGGTTGTTACTTTAAGAGCTTTCTAACATTTTGATGTGGGCATTTGGCACTATAAACTTCCCTCTTAACACTGCTTTAGCTGTGACCCAGAGATTCTGGTATGCTGTATGTTTAAAAAATATGGAATGCCTCACGAATTTTTGTGTCATCCTTATACTAGGGCCATGCTAATATTCTCTGTATCACCCCAATTTTAGTATATGTGCTGCTGAAGTGAGCACAATAATTTCTTTGTTAGTTTTCTGCCCTGATGATCAATCTAATGCTGTCAGTAGGGTGTTGGAGTCCCCACGATTACTGTGCAGCTGTCTTTTTGTGGGTCTAGAAGTACTTGCATTATGAATCTGGATATTCCAATGCTGGGTGCATATATGTCTAGAATAGTTAATTCTTCTTCTTGAATCAAACACTTTATCACTATGTAATGCTCTTCTTTGTCCTTTTTTGCTGTTGTTGGTTTAAAGTCCTTTATGTAAGAATAGCAACTTCTGATCTTTTTTGCTTTCCTTTTGCATTGTAGATCCTTCTTTCTTTATTTTGACTCTGTGGGTATAATTACATGTGAGATGGAGCTCTTGAAGACAGCAGATGGATGGCTCTTGTTTTTGTTTGTTTGTTTTTGTTTATTTCCAACTTGCCACTCCACACCAGCTTTTTAGATGTGATTTTTATGAAACTAAGAATGATATGTTATTCTGAATCCTTTATCCATCTTGCCTTCATATGGTCAGCTGGAGTTTTCAAGAGCCTAGAAAATGCCAGTCTTGGTTAGTAAAAGTGTTTAATTTGCCCATCTTGGACTTCTATTGCATATTAAACCTATTCTCATGGGTTTATCCTCATGACTAAGGTTCCAAGAAATTTAATTAAAAAAAATTCACCCCCACACTTCCAAGAAGTCCCTATGAAACGTGAGGGAGCAACACCACAGGAATTAAAACTGAGGAGCAAAGGAAAAGCACTTCTTTCCAAAGTATTTAACCACAGCAAAAGGGCTCCAGAATAGAGTTTTGCCACAGTTGAGGAAGCCTAGGAGAAAGTACGGTTTTTGTTTCTCTTTGCATAGAGAAGCCCTTGGATGGCTTATAAGAAATGTGAATTTTTCCAAGTCTATGCTGTTCTCTGGGTTAAAAAAAAAGTCATTACTATGATCTCTGTCTCTCTTGATCTCTCTCTCTCTGTTTTACTATCTTTCCCTCAATTTCATTTTCATTTCAAATCCCCTGGAATATCTTCTTTCATCACACTTGCTGGAAGTTTCGACAGGGATTAGTCAAAGTTACAAAAGAAAGCTGTCTCTGAGTACCTCAGGCAAAAGGCCATCTTCTTTGAGAATATTTCTTCTACTATAACATGAAATATTTTCCAGATTTCAAAATTAAGTCATCTCAACTTCTTCCTCTACTACCAGGAACTACAACTTCATTACTGAACAATACCACTATTAGAAATTAATTACAAACAGGGGATTTCATTAATTACTAGTGAAATTTAGGCCCTGATAGGAGATGATAAAACTTTTCATTTGAAGACTTATTGAAGTCCGTTGAAGGTAGTCATATTAATGCTGTGGAATACCCTGAACTAAAGATTTAATTTGAAACATCATTGTTAGGACATAGCTTCCCAGAAGTAGATACCTAAATGGGGACAGGAATTTTTTTAAGTAAAGTATTTCCACACTTGTCTTTGCTAATACTACTGTCATATCAAATAAAGTCACCACTAACCAAGAATTCCAGGCTGGATAAATAAAAGATGACTGAAATAAGCTTAAGACATCTTGGGGGTCTTTTGTTTACTTGAAAGAATTAGGACAGAAAAGAATATTTTCTCTTTTCTATTAAAATGTCTGGGGGATGTAAAACAATATGGAATTTTCAGGGAAGTATATAATACAATAATACAATATACTTGTGGAAAACAACCCAGATGTTGAGAGAACATTGAAAGAGGGAATGTTGGGAAGATTTTAGAGCTTCTAGATTGCAAAGTTGGGACAGAAATATCATGAAATGAAGAAAAAAAGATCACTCATCAATTCTATATTCTATAAGAATATTATAATATTGGCCTCAATTATAACACAAAAAATTAAAAAGTTGATTCCATGGGCAATGAGAAGGGATTTTTAAAGAGGTTAATTATCATGCCCAGGTTGGATTCTTTGGGAAGATTAATTTGTCACAGGTAGCAGATTGATATGAAAGGAGAGTAAGAATAAGGGTGGAGGTATGTTGTATAGTTTGAAGTCTCTTGGAAGTGACAGATGATTAGGGACTGAAATAAGCTAGTCGTAAGGGGATGCAGAGGCGGAAAGAGTGTGCAAGATGTTGGCCAGTTAGAATCAACAAGTGTGGCTGAGGAGATAAAGGAGAGGAATAAATTTAGATGACTCCTAGTTCATGATTTGAGTGCTTGGGTGGATAGATGATGGTGCCATCTACCAAGTTTGGGAATATACTAGAGGAATTAAAAATAATATTTGATAGATGATACAGTATGGTCTGATTTTTATCGTTTGAGTTCAAATTACTCTGAGGTTTCCAGGTAGTGATGTCCAGAAGAGTTGATGAAGGTGACTGAGGCCCAGAAGAGAAGCCTATACTGGAATAGAGAATTGTCAGTCATTTGCTTACAAATAATATTTGAAACTTTGGGTACTGATGAGTTATTTAGGGTTACATTAGCCCTAAATAACCCACTGTATGTTATTTACATACAGGGAGAAGAGAAAACAGACAAAGATAGTCCTTGGGCTCTCCAGGACCTAAAGGGTGGACACAGGCAAAGAGCCTGAAAAGGAGAGGAGTTCTGGTTTAGCAATTTCCAATGTGTTTGACTTAGCACTGTGTACTGAAGTACTGGGATATACCACATTATACCAGGAGACCATATTGCCTCTAATTTTGGGATTCAGAATCTCAAACAGGATCAGCCAGAATTTGCTGGGGATGTGTTTTTTTAATATTTCATTTTTTCAGAGAACCTAGCCTCATAGTTATGAAACTTTGAAAGTAGAAAGTAGAAGGGGAAAATCTCTCTTGAAAGAATTAAAATATCAAGATTCTCAATCCTTTTCATTTTTTAAACTTTAGGGATCACCAACATAATTTCAGGGAGAAGCCAACCTACTGGAAGTAAAACAGGTGAGCGTGGGGAATTGAAAAAGGTGAGGATGGGAAAGGCCCTCGTTCATGATACTAACTTGGAAAAGAGGGATCCCAGAGGACTGAAGCTATCCAAAATGAATACTATAAAACAGGGAAAACCATGTTTAATTTACCTCTTGGGAAAGGAATCCTGGAGAAGGAATGCATTGTTTCACAGAAACACATGGATTTGTTCTAAACCATGATTTCGATCCTATAAAACACTGCTCATATTACCCCCTCTTCTTTCAACATCTCATCCCAGGCTACACTGTAACAGGCTCTGGAACAACAGCCTTACCTGGAGGTTTCAGAACAGGTAAGTCAAGTCGTAAAAGGAATTCTCCTTTAAATGGCTCTCAGTTAAGCAGTGTAATTGGATTGTTTGCAGCTCAGTGGATGGATACCCCATTCTTATTGATGTTCTTATTTCACATTGCACCCCTGTATCAAAACATCTCATGTACCCCATAAATATATACATCTACTATGTATGCACAAAATTTAAAAATATTAATAAAAATAATAAATGCTCTCAAAACAACGTCATCTATTGCCATATCATTTTCATGTTGACAGATTCTCCATCTTTTCCACTTTTCTTGATTTGCTCTTACAGAGGCCACAACTTTTAAAGGTGATGTTGGAACCACTGAAGCAGAAATTTCATCAGGTGAGTTTTTTCACATTTTGGATTCTCCATGATGTTTCCATTTGAGTTTACTATGTACAGATTTTGAATGAAAATGAATGTGGCTGGAAAGTGGTTGCTTACCCTTTAATAAGAGATCATGAGGCCAACCTAGATCAATTCTATGAATTTTCCAAGATATATTGTAGATGTGTTAATAATTCTCTAGACACATTCTTTCTTTACTCCCTTTGTCTTGTCAGGCAATACCCCAGGATCAACGGGAGTCACCAGCAGCCAAGAAGGTGAGATTACTATGATGGATGCAGGTAATTTTGCTGATTAAGAGATTACTCAATCGATGCAGGTAATTGTGCTGATTAAGGCTTTGATTTAGATATTTAACCTTTGATCACAAGTTTAGACACACTTTGTTGTCTGGTTTTCTTTCCCTGGAGAACTTGTCCCTTTTCTTACATTTACTTTAGAAATCTTTACTGGAGGTAAATCATGTGCATATAAGAAAAACATTCTCAAATTTAGTAATTGAAGTCTGGATGATTCTGGATCTAGAGAAGTGAGATCTATGAGGCAATTGTGACTTTCCTCCCCCATGTTTCCCTTGAACATACAATTATGAAAGAGTCCATTGGAAAACATGCCAGGCTTAACATTTGGTGCAAGAAAACTTGTTAAATTGTTTTCTGTTGCTTCAGAGAAACGAGGCTATGTGGAAAAGCCATACATTTCTGATGATGGGAAAGGTGTTGTGTCCTTCCCTCTTATTACAGGCACCACTGAGGTAGCCTCTAGCATAAATATTTCTGGAAGCTCAAACACAGGTATGTAAATATTTAGTAGGTAGCTGTAAGAACCTAAGGCTAGAAAACTAAGATCCCTTCTGTGGAACTGACTGTAGCATCCACACATCAATTGCCTACCTCATTCTTCTTTGCCTTTCTTAGGGTTAATGAGTGTCTGTCAGTGGTAAAATCTGTTTAACTCCACTGGGTTCTCATTAATGACTCCTATCCATTGCTTCAGCATAGGGAAATATTGGGGGTAAAGATAAGACTCAGGAAGTCCCATTAGGGAATTTACATTTCCTAGCCATCTATGGTTGTTTTCTTGTTTTGGGGTTTCTCAGGCTCATGCCAGAGTCCCCAGGTCAGGCTGTGAAGGCACACAGGGCACCACTAAAGGAGAGAGCAGACACTGAAATCCATGAATTCTCATCTGGCCAGAGGAGTTATTTGTGTGTCTGTAATTCACAAGGTGCCCTGTGGGCTAGCTGCAGCACTGACCCAGAAAGTCATCTGATTTGCTTTCTCTTCCTCATGTTTATCTCTGAGGATAGGAATAAGGGCTGTGGCTGATATGAATTTGCCCTCATTTTCCTTTGCAGGAACCACTGTGGTATCAAGTGGAATCACTGGAATCCCAGAAACTTCCATCTCAGGTAATAGAAATTATTGTCTCAAATGAAGATTACATGCTCAACATTTCTCTGTCTTTAACACAAAAGTAAATACTTTTTACAAAGTAAATACAGATAGCCAATATTTATCTCTATGAATGAATGTCACACTTCAACTGTAAAATAAAATTGCACCTGATGTAAACAGGCAAAGAAGACTTTGTTCAAGACTATTACAATAAGCGTCAAAACCATTACAATAGGGGAGAGAGATTGAATTCAGCTCTGATAAAGCAAAAGGCAGGAGAATTGTTTAGTACTTGGCTAAGCTAGTGGAAAACTAATGGTGGATGTTTGGAGAGACTTTAATCTATATGATTAGGTCATCTGTGTTTGGTAATTGGCACTTAATCAGGTCAAAGTTAGGCCCCTACCCTCCCACAAAGATTGGGAGATAGAGGCATTATTTTTCTTGATAATTGTATTTCAAAAGAATGGCTATCAGGTCCTTGAGAAAGATATTTATGAATTGCAAGATTGACAAGAGACTGGGAGAAGATTTACATCTTGAAGGGGCAGAGGAAGAATTTAAAAGTAAGGCAAGTTTTCTAAAGTAAATAAGAAAAGGGAGATTAAGAGCCAATAGCTAGGAATAAACCTGTCTAAAATGTAGTTAAGCTGAGGGCAACATTAGGTCTCTCATTTTCTCATTTTCTCCCACTCTCTCCCTCCAAAATTAATACAGGAGAACTAAGAAACCAAGTTACATGAAGTAAGATTTAAGTGTGAGAAAAGCTCTCATCATTTAGAGAAGGGGCACCAGAAGTGAAACATGTATAGAGTAAAGTGTGAGAAAAGCTTTCATCATTTAGAGAAAGGGCACCCAGAAGAGAAACATGTATCAGGGTCATAGGAGAATCTTCACTTCACCTCTGTGAACAAGGGATTGCTACAATAAGAAGTTCTTAGTGTTTCCATGGCAGGGGCATGAGCTAGCATTAGTAGATGTGTTAGTATATTCCAAGTGCTTTGGTACTCTTGTTCCACGTGGACGTGTCTTAGGTAAATGCTCTTCTGAGACCAGAAAAAAAAAAAAGAAATTTGGGGGGGTGTTGATGGATGTGTTCATTATCTTGGCTGGGATGATGGTTTCACAGATGTATAAATAGGTGTCATTAAATTATCCACTTTAAACATGTGTGATTTATTGTAAATTAATATTTTCAATAAAGCTATAAACAAAGAAAAAATAAAAAAAAAGTTTATTGCTCTTCCCTTGCTCGTTTTAGGTCCTTCCAAGGAAGCATCTGACAAAACCACTGCTCCTGGACCTCCTACCACAGGTAAGTCAGATACTAATAAATGCATTTGTCTTGGTGGCACCTCAGAAGACAGGATAGCTTATCTGCAGTTCTCACAGAAGTAGAGAGTAGGATGATGGTTACCAGTGGTTGGGGTAGTTGTATATGTGGGGAGGGGTATGGTGGGGAAATGTTGGTGAAAGGATACAAAATTTCATATAGACAGGAGGAAAAATTCAAGAGCTCTATTGCACAAGATCATGACTATAGTTAATAATATATTCTTGAAAAATGCTAAGAGGGTGGCATAATGTAATTCTTCAGAACATCATGTACAAAATACATAGTTTTATCTCTCCATCTAAAACATGAAGAATAAAAAATTATTTTTAAATGAAGTTAAGCTGTAGCTCCTCTAGTCCCCTGTACTCACCACTTTTGTTCCTTTTTAAGCAGTCACTGCTTCCACAGGAGTCAAAGAAACTTCTGAAACTGGAGTGCAAACAGGTGAGTATTCAGTGTGGCTTTGATTATACATAAGAAGTTGAGTTAGGAGGAGAGGGGTAGGAGAGAAGTGAAAGACTGAGGCCAGGATGATGGCATTCAACTTCGTTTTGGAACACAACTTCAAAATTCCACTAGGGATACCTTTTTTTTTTCCTCTGGGAGTTTTTGGTTCAGGCTTTTGCTGGGGCTCCCCTCCTAAAGACTCCTTCGTGCAGACTGAGAATTCTGAGCAGAGAATTATGAAGGGTGCTAGTCCTAAAATGTCTTATATTTCCTTTTGCAAGGCTCCACCTTGGTTACAGCTGGAGTGCCAACAAGACCACAAGTATCCCAGCCAGGTAAAATCAAATGACCGAAATGAACTGGAATAAATTGTCTGTTCCACCCAAAGCTTTCCTTGAGTATGAATTTGTGCCATCATTTGGGCATGTACATAAACACAGACTTGATATGTGTAGGTTATTCTAATTTTTAAAATCACAATACCATCCATTTATGTCCTCTCAGAAACCACTGTCGTGGCAACCAGAGAAGTAGAAACCGAAAATAAAACAGGTCAGTATAGGAAAAGCCCTAATTTCTTTGTTACTATTTCAACTAATATTTCTTTAGTACCTTATGTGTGCTAGACTCTCTAGCAGACATTAAAAGCAAAAACATCAGCAAGATGCAGCACTTGCCATTTTTTATTCTGTGTGTGTGGGAGGAAGAGATTATTTTGGGCACAGATAGTATATATTTAGTGATACCCAAAAATATGCACAAAAAATGTGGTCCGGGGGGTGGAGTGAGAGTAGTGCTAATTTCTGCTTATTAATTGGTAGTGTGGAGTGAAGACATGAGAAATGGCATGATTGAGTTTAAAATTGGCATGGATGGGGAGGGTATTCCTGCCAAACAGCCCTGGAAAAGATAAAGATATGAGACCTCATGGGGGAAGTTCAGGAATCAACCAAATGTTGGCAATAACTAAATGAGCTTCAGGGAGGTAATGAGATTGGAAACGTAAGTAGAGAAAAGTTCATAAAGAACCAAACTTCAACAAGACTATCCTTGTAGTAATGGGGTACCCTTAAGGATTTGATCAACAGCCTGACATGATCAGATAGTTGAGAAATTACTCTGATGCCAATGTAATGATTAGGAGACTGTTCTCTATGGCTCCTCTTGCAAATATCTCCAATGAACGCTTGCAAACACTGGTCAGGGAATATTTTCTCTTGTATTTATGCCTAATTGATCTTCTTTCTCTCCTGTTGCTGGTTTCTGTTAATTTGCTAAGCATCCATAATTAGCACCTGGCTTAGCCTCCCTACGTAGAGTTGGAGACATTTGATTACCCAAATTTCCATACCTTTAATTCATTTTGTAATCTATATTTTGGGCCTATTAGTTGTTGGGATCACTTTACCTAAACATGTAGAAATTTTGAGTTCTTTTCAAATATTGTGTTGCTCCTAGGTCAGCCTTTTTCTTGGTAGGTTGATATACATATACACACACACACATATGTATACATATATGTGTGTATATGTGTGTATATATATATATACACACATATATATATATCAACCTACCAAGAAAAACCTACCAAGAAAAACATATATATATTTAAACAGAGTCTTGCTCTGCTGCCCAGGCTGGAGTGCAATGGCACTGTCTCGGCTCACTGCAAGCTCTGCCTCTTGGGTTCAAGCAATTCTCCTGCCTCAGCCTCCCTAGTAGCTGGGACTGCAGGCAGGCACCACCATGCCCGTCTAATTTTTGTATTTTTTGTAGAGACGAGGTTTCACCATGTTGGCCAGGCTGGTCTCAAACTCCTGGCCTTAAGTGATCTGCCCACCTTGGCCTCCCAAAGTGCTGCAATTTACAGGCGTGAGCCACTGCATCTGACCAGATTGAATACAATATTCATTTTGTTTTTAGAAGTTTTGGAAAAGAATTTGAAATTTATGAGGGAATTGTTCGATTGACCAAAATATGTGACGTGTAAAGGCTAAAAAAGATACATATTTCCAGTTTAAAGCATTTGTTGGGGGAGAAGTTAGAGCAAAATTGAAGTATTTCAAGAAGATAAGGAGAATAAAAGTTTTTAAATGACTAAAACTGGGTAATTAATAATACTCATTTTATACTGTAGCAGAATTATTTTTTTCCCTTTTTAAATCTCTTTTATTGTTCTATTCATTAGATCTGCCTTCAAAAAATTTTTGAAGAGTTTACCTTGATGTTTTCTCCTTTTGATACTTATATTTTTCTCTCATTAAAATGTGAGGTCCAAAGGAAGCACTGTACAGTGGAATTTCAAATGCAGCGAGGAGCAGGAAGGGGGGATAGATGGGAATATATCTATTTGTAAGACTAGCTATGTAGACAATTATTTTCAGCAATAGAATAATGAATTAGATAACTATACTTGCCCCAATACTATTCCAGTAACTTCAGAGACTAACTTAAGGTTCCTGTTTTTACACAGAATGTCTAGCCTCACTTCCACCAGCTCCAGGTAATAATTCCACGACTTCAGAATTGTTCCACATTAATGGTTCCTCTTGTCAATCAAATTTCAGAGGTCACGCTAATAAAAGTCACTAGCCATGGAAATGTTATAAAATAGCAAAACATGTATTGGATTAACTTAGCTTTTATTCACCAAATAGTGAGTAATAGTTCATTTCCTCCTTCACAAACCAATGAAGCCAAACCAAACAAATATACCTTGTTACTTAGATCAAAGCAAGGTTTACCTACTAAATGTTTCATATAATTATGATACCTTAACCAAAATATTATCACTTGATAGTGAGCATCTTTTTAAACTAGATAATTCCAACTTGAGGGATGAGCTGTAGTAGAAAAAAAAATCCATTTAGCCAGAGATAAGTAATTTTAGAGAACTTTCAGTCCCTACCATTCTCAAGACAATGTGGTGTGCTTTGCAGTGAGCAAAAAAAAATTACTAAAAAATAATTCTCTGACCATAGTACATAGTGGGAGAAGGAAGGTCTTCAAAGACATAGGCAATTTTCATATCAGGCAGAAAATAAATTTCCAAGTAAAAGTATAAACTATGTATTATATATAGAGTGCATATTGTATGTCACTTGTATATTTTAAGGTATCCCCAAGAATTTCTTTTTTTAAATTTTATTATTATTATACTTTAAGTTTTAGGGTACATGTGCACTATGTGCAGGTTTGTTACATATGTATACATGTGCCATGTTGGTGTGCTGCACCCATTAACTCGTCATTTAGCATTAGGTATATCTAGGAATTTCTTTACAGTATTGGAATTGGAGAACACAAATAGACCAGTCCAGGGCATGTAAATGAGAGAAGTGAGACAAAGTTGAGAAGGTCAGTTTGAGTCACAATATGAGAGACCTCAAAAGCTAGAATGCTAGAATAAACTGTTTGTTTTACACAACTATAAGGGGCCATCAAAGTAGTAAATGAGATGAGAATTAGGCTTTAGAAAAATTACATTACCTCATTGGATCAGAAAGAGATATGAGTCAGAATAACTCCCTTAAAAAAGCCAGTAGAGTATGCTAGATCAAAACTTTAATAAGATCTTGGAGTGGCATTTTAGCAAGTAGAATAAGGAAAGGAAGAAATGAATGTGAGTGTAAAGATACAGGATTTGGCAGTAGATTTGACGCCAGTGCTAGAAGGAAGAAATCAAATGGCTCCTTGATTTTAAGCTTGAATGATTGAAAGTATAGTTCTATCCTTAGAGAAGGAAGCCAATCTAGAAGAGAAGCTGGTTTTGGGGGGAAGATGATAAAATATGTTGTGTGCACATCAAGTTTTGGGTTTCTATAGGTCTGCCAGGATTCTGTCTATAGGTTGAGAGAGAACTGGCTCCAAAGCTATGAGAGAGGTCTGGGCTGGAGCTGGGCATTTTAGAGCCATTCTTTTGATGTTATGGTGCACATTGTGGAGACAGAAGAAAGAATTAGAGCCAAAATGAGAGGCAGTAAGACAAACTGCCAGTGAAGACAAAAATTTCAGAGCATTAAATCTGAAGAAAGGAGAGCATTTTTCAAGAAGGTAAGAATGAAAAATGTCAACTATGGCACAGAAAAACTGAGAAAGGGCCCTTGGGTCTGGTAATTATGAAGCCATGGTGACTTGTAGGATTGGAAAAGCGGAAGTCAGACTGCAAAACAGTAAGTCAGTTAGTAGCCATAAGATTGATTGACCACTGCCTGGAGAAATTAAGAATTATCCTTTGCGGAGGATTGTAAAAATAGGATATGCCTGTTGGGAACAGTTTGCTTGAAGCAGGTGGACGTGATTTTATTCACCTTAAGGCAACATAAAATCTTCTATAATTCAGTCACTCTGAAATCCTAATGCCAATTACAGTACTGGCCACCTGGTGGTTATCTATAAATAACAGATGGTTATATTTTGCCAAATTTAATTACCATTTATCATTTATGTCAACGGTTTGTCACGGTCCATTGGGAGAAGAGAAATCTGTAAGTACACAGTTTTGCTCTACTTTAATCCAAATTTGCTCTCATTCCTGTATTTGAATAGAAGTCTAAACTTGGTTTGTTTATGTAGCCTGGAGACATATGGACTGCCAATTGCCACAGAGGTACCTGTACTGATGCAAAGACTATAGACTGTAAACCTGAGGAGTGCCCTTCTCCACCCACATGCAAAACCGGCGAGAAGCTTGTGAAGTTCCAATCTAATGACACCTGCTGTGAAATCGGATACTGTGGTGTGTATTTTAATTGAATATGTTTGTTGGTTTTTTATTCACATATTCAAGAGATACTTTTTGAGCTACCAATTTTGTCGAACATAATACTAGGCAGGTGTAATAAATAATACAGAATTAGTATAATAATATTTGCATTCTTAAATCTTACCATCTTCAGAATGGGGGTTACCCAGAATTAAATTATGAATATAATCAGTAGATTAAAGGAACACTATGCTATTATGGGTAGAAACATAGTTGGTTTCTATGTATGATCTCATCTACAATTTCTGTTTTATAAATAGAAATTATAGTATTTTAGAATAAAACAATATGTTTATTTTTCAGAACCAAGAACATGTTTATTTAACAATACTGACTATGAGGTAAGGTCTTTTCTTCATTAAAATGTTTTTGTTAATTATAAGAATAAATTTAATGCTGGGCTACATTAAGGGACTTTCAGCCTATTTTATATATGTAATATACATAAGTATATATATTATATACATAAGAAATTATATAATAAATAAATATATATGTATGTATATATATATATTTTAACCCTAGTAACAATGGATTGGAATCCGTTCATTTTTTTCCCCACCCCCACTTCCAAAGGAACATCAAATGTAACACTCACCATGACTCTGCAAAGGAGGAAAACATAGTACTTGATCATTAACTACTCAGCAGTAGAGCTTCTGAACAAAATTTCCCAAGGGCCTTGCCAGATGGAGAAGACATACTTTGTAACATTCAAATCAATGAATAGAGTCAAACTGTAATTATAACCAGAAAGATCAGATGGTCAAGCTGTCAGAGATCAAATAAGAAAACCCAAAGGGCTAGAACCCTATTATGCAGCTACAGCAACACAATACATTCAAGGCTGGATTTTGACAACGAATTTGACATTTTGGACAGTAATTTAACTTTTTAGAAAAAAGTATAAGGAAGCCGTAAAAATCAGATGATTCTCAAATTGATATTAACACACTTGAAATGTGATAGTAAATATTAAAAAATCTAAAGTGAAATATATGTGGTATATTAAGAAATAGATAAAACAGCCTATGAGAGTTTTACTTGGATAACCCATTTATCACACTCAAATTTCCACCTGGACTTCTTAATTTTTAGTTTCCAAAGTTGATCTGACTTGAACCTGTGATAGTTTTTAAACACAAAATATGATGATATTTAAGGAACAAAAGGAAAGCTTTCTTCTGATCATTTAATAATAAAATTCCAATTTATCAGAAAGTTCATCTTGTCTGAGGCTGTGAAATAAATGCAGTTTCTCTAACTGTTGTTTGAATATTTAACATAAGCTAATTATAAAGTAACACCAGAGAACTTTAAAAGTATAGGAATATAGGCCAAGAGAAAAGTAAGACATCTTGTGAGACTTGTCATTTGTTTTAATATGATAAGCCTATTTTGTGCCATTTTTTCCCCACTTAAATTTCTTGTTTCCCCTTAAGCTTAGAACATAACAATTGATTAACTGCTTGATCACTATAAAAAACCTGTCTTGAAAATTTCTTGAAAATATAATAGAGTAACTGTTGGTGAATCTTAATTTGAGGATTGAGAATCTTGACACACTCTGTGCTCTCAATGAACAAATTTGGTTTATTCATGGAAGTGGAAGACTTTCAAACCATCTTTTCTTTTTTACTACTAACCTAATGACAAAGTGCCTCTGGAAAATCACTAAACATGAATTTGAATTTTTAAACTGATGTTCTTGCCAACCTCTAAAAGAAATCAAGGTGAATAATTATTTTGTTTTCTTCCCCCTCTTTTCCTCCCAGATTGGTGCTTCATTCGATGACCCCAGCAACCCCTGTGTCTCCTACTCCTGCAAAGACACGGGCTTTGCTGCAGTAGTCCAGGACTGCCCAAAGCAAACCTGGTGTGCAGAAGCAAGTCATCTTAACTAATGAACGCCGAGATTCAGTTCTCATATTAAACAAACCCTGGCCGGGCGCGGTGGCTCAGGCCTGTAATCCCAGCACTGTGGGAGGCCGAGGCGGGCGGATCACCTGAGGTCAGGAGTTCGAGACTAGCCTGGGAAATATGGTGAAACCCCGTCTCTACTAAATATATAAAAATTAGCTGGGCATGGTAGCAGGTGCCTGTAATCCCAGCTACTCAGGAGGCTGAGGCAGGAGAATCACTTGGGCCCAGGAGGCGGAGGTAGCAGTTAGCCAAGATTGTGCCGTTGCACTCCAGCCTGGGGGACAACAGTGAGACTTCATCTAAAAAAAAAAAAAAAAAAAAGAAAAAAAAAATCAACCTGTCTTCTATCTCATTAGAAAATGTTTGTGTCTGGCTAGCAGACATAAATATCTTGTAGGTTGTATAGCTCTTTAAACAAATTCATCATATCCAGAGCCCAGATGATTCCAGACATGCTCATGTTTTATTGTTAAGTATAAATTATTTTCATATCAAGAAAGGCTCTCATGTTTTACAGGCTTTATAAAACTTAATTTAGTGCTAATCTAGAAGAAGTAAGTTATTATAGAAAGCATTTTGCTATTTTGAAACTAAAAAACTCACTAACTTTTAAAAATAGCTCAGTCTATAAGAATACCAATTTTTCTGTATAATCATGTCTGGGTACTTTAGATCTTTCTTTGTGTCACAGTTTTCTCCATTTCTATGCCCCCCAAATATGACTGGGTTTTATATTAATGAATGCTTAAGTTTCAATTATTAAGGGAGGTTTAAGTTATCATTTTTCTTTCTGAAGATATAATTGATAATATGGTTTAAAGTTTTATTTTTGAGCTCTAATACCGGATTTCAATATTTATCATGCTTTCACTTTGTTATAATTTTAAAACTATCAATTTCTCAAAGGTGCTGCTTCTAATTATGTTTCTAATGTATTAGTAGTAATATTATTGTTAAAGTATTTTTCAGTAAATGAGAAATAATTTAATATTATTTAATGTTATCTTTGACAAGAATTTAGTTTAAAGCTTATTTTTCCTTGACTCCTTGTTGAAAAATTTTAGTCACATTTTTATTACTCAGCTGATCTTTCTCCTTTTCTGTCCTTTGCTTACTAGATCTGAGGTAAGATTGTCCATCTGTCCCATTTCCTGTTTGTGATGTGAGGCATTTTAACAAATTAAGAAGTGTTATATTATTTGCAGAAAAATTTGGAATAACGTTTCCAGTCTTTTTTCTTTTTTCTTACCCTTACAGGAAGACAGAATCTATGATTCAAAAAAATGTTGCTATACATGTGAGTAAAGTTAAGTTCTGCATAGAGAGAAATGTAAGCTGTTGACAAAAGTTTAATTTCTTTAAAACAAAATGGCAGATCATTAAGAGAAAGTATCTCGTATTTTTAACACAACAGGTAATCTAGCCTACATGTATAAACTTCCATTTGATATTTGTACATAATGTATTATGGCCACATATTCATGTTGATTGAAACATTCTTCTCAGTAAAAATAATAATGTTTACAAGGGAACAAATGTAATTTTCATGGAAAAGATGAGCTTGTTCTTTTGCATCAGCAAGTTGTGTTGTGAACTGGTGCATTAGATCATAAGGATAATCAGTGATGAGAAAATGGATGTCAAAAATAATTAATCCACCCCTGTTTTTGATGGATATCAAAATAATCCATTCGCCCATGTCTTCCCTTCTCCCTTCCTCTTACTTCTCCCCTCAACCCCTTCACCTGTGATAGTGTGATAGTGATAACAGGAACAACAAGATACCAGTAATCTGAGTATTAACCAGCTACCTTGTAATGATGCTGAGATGGTTAATCACCTCAATAATGTTGTGAAGTAGTTGCTATTATTTATAGGTTAAGAAAATGAAGGATTAGCAATTGTTAATGTTAAACCTCACTTCTGACTCTCTTTTCCATTTCATTTTAGGTAAGAATAATTGCAGATCTTCCCTTGTAAATGTGACTGTTATCTACAGTGGTTGCAAGAAAAGAGTTCAGATGGCAAAATGCACAGGGGAATGTGAAAAGACTGCCAAGTGAGTTCTTTGAATGTGTATCATGTGTAAACTTTGTAACCTTGTGGAGAAAATGGATCTTTTTAAATATTACTCGGAAAAACTTTTATGTGAGAGCAATACTATTCTGTTATCAGGACCAAATGAAAGAAGAATCTAAGATATTAAGATCTGAGAACTAAAATATTCACTTAAAATAGTGATGAGTCATTCTGAAGTAGTTTTCTAAATATACATGATACATTTGTAACAAATTTAGTCATCTCATACAGTGACTACAGAAAATATTTAAGCAAAGAAGTGAATTTCTTGAATTACTTAAACTTGAAATTTAGATAGTATGCTTTTCCTTTATGTACACTTTTATGTATAGATTAATATAGAGATAATAATCTCATATTAAGTTATATTTAAAATTGTATTTAGTTTACTTTTTTGCCATAATGCTCCAGTTATGAGATTATAACTTCCTTTCAGATTTCTTATTTCTCTTGGTCTTGCATACCAAATACCACCGAGCAACATCAGAGCTTTACAGTGACAGGGGGAATGCAAGGTCTAGAAAAAGAATAAATTGGTTACAAGGCTTGCTAAGTCACTTAGACAGTTACAGTTTGAGCACTGATGTCAATTTATTTTTAAAATTCTAAAAATGTTTATTACTGAATTTTTCTTTTAGGTACAATTATGATATCTTACTCTTGGAACATTCATGCCTTTGCTGCCGAGAAGAAAACTATGAACTCAGAGACATTGTACTTGACTGTCCTGATGGCAGTACAATCCCTTACCAATACAAGCATATCACGACCTGCTCTTGTTTAGACATATGCCAACTATATACGACCTTCATGTACAGTTAATGCTGACATCACCTTCCCAGTTTTAACAGGCCTGGTATTTATTTTATAAGTGAGGAAAAATAATCATTTAAAAAGTGAGAATAAACTAAACAATGTGAGAATAACTCAAAACAATGAGTTCTCATTGTGAGGAATTTTGTTCTCTTGTTGACTGGATCTGAAAAATAAACACAACTTGACAAGCAATTCGTGAGCAAGGGTATTTATTTTACGGCAATACGAATTCTGCAAGTCTAGCAGAAACTGGATCATATCATGACTCTTCAATATATTTTCCTTTTATCCTTCA
The DNA here is from genome assembly GCF_000001405.40 of Homo sapiens. Classification (NCBI taxonomy): domain Eukaryota; kingdom Metazoa; phylum Chordata; class Mammalia; order Primates; family Hominidae; genus Homo; species Homo sapiens. The sequence continues at coordinate 40,570,936 of NC_000012.12, forward strand.
GCTTCTTATGCCCTTCTCCCATTTCATTTCCTTCACTTACTGAAAATGTAGACTTGGTTTCCTTTTCTCACTTCCTGTGCCAGTTGCATCACTCTTCCCATCCTACTACAACTCCTCCTGCTAGGACACCAGTGACCTTCTCTAGCTCTGCCTACAGGGTCTGACAGCATCTCCACTCTTCCTTTCTTGAGACATTTTTCTCCTTGTTTCTATGATATTTCTTTTTTCTTTCTGTGACATCATTTTAAATGTTCCTACATCATGTGGACAGCTTTATTTCTGCCAGTCCTCTGAAGTTTAGTTTTCTAGTCGCATCCTGTTCTGCTTTACATTTTACTCAGTCTTTGGCCAATTTCGTCAATTTAAGTAGATATATTTACACTTTGAGGATTTCCAGTCTGTATCACCACCCTCATCCTCTGAGTCTCAGACACATTGACACAACTTTGAATTTAACATCTCTCACTGGATGCTCTATAGGTACCACAAACTCAGCAAGACCAAAACCAAAATAAATATCTTTCTTTATCTCAGTCCTGTGCATGTATATTGTATACCAGTGAAATAGGTAGCTAAAAAGAGAGGTTAGGCCAAGGCAGGTGGATCAAGAGGTCAAAGAAAACAAGACCATCCTGGCCAACATGGGGAAACCCCATCTCCACTAAAAAAATGCAAAAATTAGCCGGGCATGGTGGCGCGTACCTGTAGTCCCAGCTACTCCGAAGGCTGAGGCAGGAGAATCACTTGAACTGGGAGGCAGAGGTTGCACTGAGCCGAGATCGCGCCACTGAACTCCAGCCTAGTGACAGAGCAAGACTCTGTCTGAAAAAAAAAAAGAAGAGGCTGAGGTTGACTAACATTATGGCTGTCATCTTTAATACATTCTACTGCCTTGCTGTCTCACACACATCCTTCTTCCTGAACATATATATTCAAATGTGCCTTGGATAAATTATTTACACAGGTAAAATGTAAAATGTGTGCAATTATTAACACCCTTATCCCCTTCCCAACATGAAGGCAAACCCAAATTATCATAACCTATTTATGAACAAGTTCTTACTTTTCTGTATCAGTTGGACTAGTGGTAAATTTAACTACCATCAAACACTGTATGTCTAATGGTGGAGAAGAAAATAGATGTGTTAGTATATTGGTAATTGCTACCAAAGGTGGATAACAATTCCTTATGAGTGGGCATTACAGATCTCACTTCTACAGTCAGTTCCAGGGCCTTTGACTTTCCTCTATGTCTGTCACTGGTTCCAGGTTTTCCTTCCTCTCAGTGCATACCAGAGTTCATCATTTCACAAAATTATGAGGAGCTTGAGGCCTTGAAAATCCAAATGGGTGAGGTTGCAGGAGTTTCTTTAATAGCTTTTACCTCAGGAAATAGTAGAGCACAGAGTCAACATTATACCCACATTACAGTCCTTACCATGTGGTAGCAGCTCTATTTTCACCTGACAGTCAGATTTGATCATCCCAGATAATATACTGACAGCATTTTCTGCTTAGTAAGCCTGCTTTAGACTTATGAGAGACCCCAAATGGCTAGCTGGGAGTTTCAGAACAAGGGAGACAAAATGAATATTGATTTCTGGTCCAGCTAATATATTACATCCTGCCAACAGCACACCAACTAATCCCTCAGCTGGTATCAGAGTGGAGTGCTCAGTAGGCTGATCTTTAAGGTTTACCATCTGTGAACAATAAAGCATAATACATTTATTGAGGTATGTATGTACCTTTCTTTTCTTTGATTTGACGCTATATGAACTTTTCTTCACTTGAAAATAAATTCCTTTGGTTAGAAGCATTGCTGCACAGCATTTCATGGCAGTGAATAAAGTATTCAATAAGCCTATAGATAGATGTGCTTGTCTAGGCGTATTAGACACAAAATGAAAATGCCAATCCATACTTGGTTATCTCAGAGAAAATAAATGCTGTCTTCCCACCACCAGAAAAGGATCAAAGTTGTCTCCTTTTTACCAAGTAGCTGAGTGACGTGATACTATGAAAATGGAAGATCACTGTCTTCCATTTATTTAACAAAACCATGATCATTAGCATGGTGGTATGCCAAGTGGCTTCAGTGGAGGGAATTTAGGCTGCTGAACCCCTGTATGACCCTTATTTCTGCTACAATTGCTACCTTCTTCTTTAAGCATTCACTTATGTTCAGGTATGGATCTGTTCTGAATTATTCATACAATTCCCCCAACCCTTCTTGTCATTCTCCATTTTTTCTCCCCTCAAGTCCTGGGCTATCTATACAAATTATTTGCTGTATCTGCAAAATTAGTGTGAATCCTCAATTCAGGCCAACCTTCTGCCAAGCACAGTGGCTATAGAGAATTTTCCTTTACAGTTGTTGTTCACAGCACTCCTAAGATAGTCTCACTTTTCACTGACACTGGGTCTATAGGCAATCTAGCTTTGAGTCTTTTCATCCTGTGTTAAATGATTATAAGCAATTCCTCCTCTAAGCAAAAGGCATTAATTCAGAGAAATGTGGCAGCCAGATAATAGCGCATTATGGGCCTTAAGAAATTATTGCATGGATCTGACTTTCTGACTTGTGCCTTTGAGACCTGAATGGACTCTATTCTGTATATATGACTTTGCCTTGATGATGGATTGCTGCTGAGAATGCCCAAATCCATGGCAACGTAGAAAAGCTAATGTCCCCTCCAGGATGAGGGGCTTTGGTTCACGGTCACCTGTTATTTTAGTATTGACAGAAAGCTAGTATTTGCTGAAAATAGAAAAACTGCCTCAGGAGGTAGTGTGGTCTTGCTCTCAAAGCTCTGAAGCTGCTATTGCTATGACCATTTTACGACTTGTCATTGGCCCCTCCACTAGGTTTTACTTTTCTGTTATAGATTCTTCTAGAACCATTGGATCAACACAGATTATGAGTTGAACATTGAGGTAGCTTTTACCGAAAACTTGATAATCTGAACTGATCTTATATTTTGTCTGAGTCCCTCTAGAGTTATCAGGTCTTAGGTCATCCAGTGAGTAGACCTAAGAAAGACATTTATATCCATATAGGTTTCTTGATTTTTCTAAAATCCAATGGGTCTATTTCCTAGTGTAGGTGAACAAAGTGTGAGAGAGTGTCCTTCACTTCAATGATGAGGACCCACTATCTTCATATTACTAAGATTTAAGCTGATTACAGAAAAAGCCAAAATAACAGTAACTTTAAAAAGATAGAAATGTATTTCTCTCTCATACACAAAACTGGGTAGGTGACCTAGAGAGGCATGGCTGTGCCTAGTCTCTTTGGTCTTATTGCAGAATGAACTGTCCAGCTTCCATCTTGTTGGCCCACAATGGTTCCCACTAGTCGCTACCATCTCAATCTTATTCCAATCAGCAGGAAAGTAGAATGGGAGAGGAGAGTGTGTGTTCCTCCTCTTCTGAGGCCACACATACTTCCACTAACATCCCTTTGGCCAGAATGAGAGACACAACCGTCTGGAACCACAACCAATGCTTCCAAAATGAGGGTCTATAGGCTGTCTATAGAGTAATCATTGGGGATCTTTATAAAAATACAGGTTTATGAATTTCATCCTGAGAAGTCCCGTTCAGTAGATCAGAAAGCAGGTAGCTAAATCAATTTTTGCAAATAAAATTCTAGGGGCCATATTGTTCCATTTAGTAATGGAAACATCCAGAAAAACAGCTACAATTTGAGTCATCACCAGACTAAGTTTATTGTGAAGGATATGGTGATGCACTGCTCAGATTCACCTTCAGAAAAACAGGGCTTATTCCACAGCTGCTGAGAGTGCTGCCAGAAGACTGCTTTCAGCTGTCAGCCTCCTTAGGGGTTTGCCTCAGCTAAAGACAGCCACATCCCCCACTGATATGTCCACCTTCTGGAGAAAAGAGGGGCGTGAAGTGAAAGGCAGAGGAAAGTAGAAAGGCTCAGAGCTCTCTCCCCAACTTGGTCTATGAATTCTTTACTCAGAAAGTTGCTGAGGCTTTCATTGAAGATGCACAATGTCTTGACTCCCAATCTTGCTTCCTTCCTTCTCTTCCACAAATCTGGATTCCAAGAACACTTTATAACAAACCTGCTGCATGTAAATCTCCATCTTAGAATCTGCTCCTAGGCAGCACAACCTGTGCCACTTACAGGAATTAAACATCATTCTCTAGAGCCCATCAATTATTTGTAGCATTCAAGTCTGAGAATTTAATGGGGAAGGATACAGAAAGCAGCCTACCTATGTCTTTCAAGTCTTTGATGGTGGCTTTGAAAAGAACTAAATGGATGAGGCCTCCTCTACTACCCTATTTCTCATTCCCTTCCCCCTTCCATTGTACAAATAAAAAACATATGCTTTCCTATATGCCAATGAGACTATTTTAATAGCCTCAAGACAACTGGTCCTACTGTAAAATTAATGACAAGGAGTAAATTTGATTACTGACACTCAAAATATAGAACTATAATTTTGTCAGAACACCTTGAAAACTCAATATTTCTGACTATTCTATCTTTTTCTCTGCCTATAATCCATCCCCCATATACTAGTCACTCTCTTTTCATCATCTGCCTTTCTACAGGTGGTAGTCCTATATATACTTTTAATTACAGTTATTGTTAACATTTATTTGTTCTTTATTATCCCTTTTAATGTAAGTTTTTGGAGGGCAAGAAGTTTGTATCTCTATCCCACAGCTCTGCCTCTAATACCTAGAAGAGGATGTGGCATAGAGTAGGTAATCAATAAACATTTGTTGATATTTGAGTGAAAAAAATCTAACAAAGGCAGCCAGTTAAACAATTCAGTTACTTATCTAGGAATATATTCATCAAGTAATTTTTTGCAATGAAATTGCAGGTTCTTGTCAGTAATTAAAATTAATTATATCTAATTAATTATTGTCAAAAACTCTGTTTTGAGAAAACTATTCATGGAAAATTGTCTGCATTCAGTCTGGCCATTCTTCATATACTAAATTATATCCTTGGAGTAAATAAATGAGAAGGTGACATCTCCTAGTGTATGACTTCTCACTAGAGATATGGAATGCAGAGCAGTTAAATACACAGGCTGTGGAGCCAGATTATCTTGGTGCAAATATTGGTTCCCCCCACCTAATGCTATATAACTTAGCCTTATTTCACAAAATAACATCTTTACTGAGGTGTAACTCATACCATAAAATTCATCCTCTTAAAATGTGCAATTCAGTGAGTGTTAGCATATTCACAAGGTTGTGCAACCCTCACTTCTATATAATTCCAGAATATTTCATCATTCCAAAAATAAACCCAATACTGATTAGCAGGCACTCCCCATCCTCCCACACCTCCAAGTCCCTGGCAAACACTAAACTACACTCTATTTCTACAGATTTGCCAATTCTAGACATTTTATATAAATGGAACCATACAATATGTGACCTTTTGTGCCTGGCTTCTTCCACTTAGCATAATGTTTCCCAGGTTCATCTTTGTTGTAGTATTTATCACTATGTCATTCCTTTATACTGCTAAATAATATTTCATTATTTGGATATACATTTTGTTTATTCATTTATAGATAGTTCATTGTTTCCATATTTTAGCCATTATGAGTAATGCTTGTCTGAAAATTCATGTACAAGTCTTAATGTGGATACATATTTTCAATTCTCCTGGGTATATATCTCACAGTAGAACTGCTGGGTCATATGGTACCTCTATCTTTAACATTTTGAGGAACTGCTGAACTGTTTTCCAAAGTGACTGCACCATTTTACATTCCCATTAGCAATGTTTCTCTACATCCTTACCAATGCTTATTATTGTCTTTTTAAATTATAGTCATTCTAGTAGGTTATTTAACCCTTTTATACCCAATTTTCTTATTTGTAAAACAGAATAAAAATATGTACTTCCGAAGTTTGAGGTTGTATAAACATCTGCTATCATAGTTTTGCAATCTGTGATTATTCTACTTTTCCTCAACCTTGCAAAGCAGCTTATGACAGTTAGATGAACTGATTTGCACACTGCTTACTTTATCTCTACTTAGAGAAATTGACAAAACAGAAATACACATAACATTCTTAAGTATATAGGAAATAACTATTTCATGATAGTAATTCATAAGAATACCTACAATTAGATAGGGGCATTATCATAATCAAGTTTTGTCATAAAGAAATATGTCAAACTTTGGGAATTGAGAAGATGGTAGCAATACAGGTCACCGCAAAGTTTCATTATGCTCTAAATGTGACAGTCTTGCTAATATCACTATTTTAATAACTATCTAAAAATTTTCAATTACTTTTATAATAATTTTATTAGGTCCCTGTAAACTATGTTCCATGGTTCTATTTTCAAAATTGGAGTAATTTGTTTCGGAAATCATTTTTGTTCATTTTATTTCTATTGTTAGGCTGGTTGGTAAATAATTGAGATAGAACTGCCATCTTTCTGGAATTATCAAAAGCCAATTTCTCTTTCACCTATATGTAGGAATCCAAACTTCCCAGTAAGAAAATTCCAAATTTGTTACTGTGTAGGATAAAGGAAGGGACCAACATCGTTCGTTCATTCTCTCTTTTTACCCATGGCATAAAGACACCAGCTAATTCATAGGGTGTTTGTAAGGATTAAATGAGATCCTTGATATTTGGGATTTCCTTAGAAAATGCTAGCTAGTCACACGTAATGAGTTTCATTGCCATTCTTACTGCTTTCCCTGCTTTCCTTATCTGGTCCCTCAGAGACCCTGGCTGGTTCTCCGACTCTCTCTTACCTTCTCCAGTGCTGGAGTTACTTGATGCTGACCTCCAGCTACAGTCCTGCATCACCAGGGTCAGTTCCTCCTCTAGCATCAGCTCCCACCCAACTTTCTACAAAATTGTTGCCAGTTTGGCATTGACTTTGTGCCTCAACTCTGATAGCTGAACATTCATCTTGTTCCTGAAATCCAGACTCATTTTGTTTTCCAATTTTGGTGACTGGCCAAGAAAGAGGTTCAGGCTCTAGGAAAATAGAACCTCTGAGAACCTGAACCTCTTTCTTGGCTCTATTTTTCTAGAGCCTGAACCTAATTTTTGGCCGCTTGCCAAATAGCACCATCTCAGAGAGTTGGCCTTACTATTTTGTTATTTCCCTTCATCTTCCCCTTCCTCCTCCTTCTTTTCTCCCCTCCACTTCACTCTCTGAGTCTTGGATTCTGCTATTTGGAAACACTCTTCTTCTCTCCTACCTGTAGTGTGCCTTGATTTCCCAACATATTTTGGCTCAGGTAATTTTGTTAAACTAGCATGTGACTTAGGCAATACTTCCCTCAAAAGAATTCTATTGTCCTGGGCCATAACTCCCCCACTATACAATGTTCAAGAAATGCCTTTGCTATTATAGATTATTGAAGGTAATTGAAAGAGTTGTCCAGCCATATTGTTTGATTTGCATGGGGCTCAGGAGTCTTGTGACAAAGAATATAAGCCTGTCCATAAGGGCTTCAGGCATAAATAGACTTATTTTCTTTGTAGGTTAGAATTACATTTAACTATATTTGAGATTGATGCCAGAATCTTCATGAAGCATCAACTATTTCTTTTATGAGGGTCATGAGAGAGCTACATACTTAAGGAAAAAATGAGAGTGGGATACAAGCTGCCCTGATACTGTTAGCCAGGCTTGTCCCGGTGGCATGTATAAAATATTCCCTTCTCTTTGGATGGTAATAGAGGTCAGATAAGGAAACAAAGTGTTCTCCTGTCTTCCCAATACCCTGTATTTGAACCTATTTCAGTGAACTTAATACCAAGTCTATGATCAATTATTGTATGGCTGTCACAGAAAAGAAATAAATGGAGTGTCAGTGAAATACTGCCTGCATGTTTGTGTAGCTATTGCTCTTGTGTTTTTCGTTATGCCTATGTATCCACCTGCTTCTAATAATGAAATGAGCATTCTAGTTGTCTTGACACACTTTGTAATTGGAAAGTTATCAAAAGATTTCATTAAAGTTAGCATTACTGTCCCATAATATATTTGGCTAAGAATTCACCTACTGTTCAATTTGGCTTTTCAAATCATGTCCAGTTGTAAAATCCAATCTGCACCAGAGAGTACTATGTAATAGACACTGCATTGATTTCTTTAATAATTATTTACTGAACAGTTACTATTCTAGGCCCTGAAAATACAATGATTCATAAGCAAAGATTCCTTATACAGAGTTTACTTCTAGTTCAGAATAGTAGTACAGTTTACATATAGTTTAGTTTACATACTACTAGTATATATAATAAGTATATACAGTAGTAGTTTACATACAGTGGGAATATAACAGGAAATAAATAAATAGAAGCTCTGAGAAAAATGAAACACATTGCTAAGACAGAACATGAGAGCATGAAGAAGAAGTTACTTAAAACAGACCTGGTGTGGTGGCTCATGTCTGTTATTTTAGCACCTTGGGAGGCCCAGGTGGGAAAATTGCTTGAGCTCAGAAGTTCAAGACCAGTCTGGGCAACACAGTGAGACCTCATGTCTACTAAAAATAAAGAAAATTAGCCAAGTATATGGCACACACCTGAAGTCCCAGCTACTTGGGAGGCTGAGGTGGGAGGATTGCTTGAGCTTAGGGGTTTGAGGCTGTAATGAGCCATGATCAGGCCATTGCACTCCAGCCTGAGGGACAAAACAAGACCCTGTCTCAAAACAAAAAAAAAAACTACTTAATACTGTGTTCTAAATGTATCAGTTAGGCCAGGCTAGGATATGCTGTCATAAAAAAATTAACTCCAAAATCATAGTGGCTTATAACAAACTTTTCTCACTCATGCAAAGTCTACTATGAGTTTTGTAAACTCTCCAAGTCAGTAGTCCTCCATGTAATGACTCGGCAATCAAGATCTCTTTAATCTTGTTGACATGTCAATATGAGACCAGCCCAGTTGTGATGGAAAGAAAGAGAGATTAGAATATTCCCAATGACTCAACCCAGAAATGACACATTTTATTTCTGCTCACAGTCTAGTAACCAGAGCTGATCCAATGTCCTTGTAATTTTGCAGCAGAGTTTGGACATATGATAATCCATGTGCCTAGCAAAAAGGTGTGTGCTAGTGATAGCAACAGGAGACAGACAAATTCCTAGGCAGACAGAAATGGATCTCCGGTGAAACCCAACCTTCAAGTGAAGGGCAGCTGAAAGCCTGAAAACCAAATGGCCAGCTCTAGATAGAATCCACAACTGAAGTGAGAACTTCCTCGTCTTACCTACTCCCTCTCAACTGGTTCCTTCTGAATGATGCCTTTTAACCAATCAACTAGTGCCTTTTCCAAGACCATCCATGGAAGAACCAGCACCCAATTCCCTATTGTAAGCCCATAAAAGCCCCAGACTCAGGCTCACAGACAGGTATTCACGTCAGGTCCACTCTCACTGTTGAGAGCTTTTCTTTCACTCAATAAAATTCTATTCTGCTTTATTCATTCTACAGTATCCACATACCTCATTCCTCTTGGTTGCGGGGCAAAAACCTGGAACTCGCCAAATGGTGGGAGTGAAAGAGCTGTAATGCTACTGCCTGCCAAGCTGCAGATAGCAGGAATAAATTAACTGTAACCATCTTGCCAAACAACAGGAGGGAAGAAGCCACTGGGTGCCACTGTCTCCTGCTTGCTGACATATGGGATTGAAAAAGGCACTGGGCACCACACAGGCCCACTTGCCAAGCTATGGGAGTGAAGAAACTGCTGTGTGCCACTTCCCTCCCCTTGCTGAAATATGGGAGCAAAAAACCACAATACTAGTGATATGTACCCCACCTCGGAAGTTCTCCCTGATGCTTGAATAATAAGAAAAAGGCAGACATTTGAAGATAAATGTGATAAACAGTGCAGGTAGAAGAAGTTAGAGTAAGTGCATTAGTCTGTTCTCATGCTACTATAAAGAAATACTTGAGACTGGGTAATTTACATAGGAAATAGGTTTAATTGACCCACAGTTCTGCCTTGCTGGGGAGGACTCAGGAAATTTACAATCATGGCAGAAGGCCAAAGAGAAGCAGGCACCTTCTTCACAAGGTGGCAAGACAGAATGAGTGCAAGCAGGGGAAATGCCTGATACACATAAAACCATCAGATCTTGTGAGATTCACTCACTATCACGAGAACAGTATGGGGAAAACCACCCCCATGATCTGATTACCTCCACCTGGTTCTGTGCATGACATGTGAAAATTACATTTCAAGATCAAATTTTGGGTGGGACACAGCCAAACCATATCATTCCATCCCTGGCCCCTCTCAAATCTCATGTCCTCACATTTCAAAACACAATTATGCCTTTCTAACAGTCCCCCAAACTCTTAGCTTATTCCAGCATTAACCCAAAAGTCCAAGTCCAAAGTCTCATCTGAGACAAGGCAAGTCCCTTTCACCTACAAGCCTTTAAAATTGGAAGCAAGTTAGTTACTTCCTAGATAAAATGGGGTTACAGGCATTGGGTAAATACACCCATTCCAAATGGGAGAAACTGGCCAAAATGAAAGGGCTACAGGCCCCATGCAAGTCTAAGGTCCAGTAGGAAAGTCATTAAAGCTTAAAGCTCCAAAATGATCCCCTTTGGCTCCATGTCTCATATCCAGATCAGGCAGATGCAAGAGTTGGGCACCCATGGTCTTGGGTAGCTCTGCCCCTGTGGCTTTGCAGGGTACAGCCCCCACTTCTGGCTGCTTTCACAGCTGGTGTTGAGTGCCTGTGGCTTTTCCAGGTGCATGGTGTATGCTTCAGTGGATCTACCATTTTGGAGTCTCGAAGATGGTGGCCCTCTTCTCACAGCTCCACTAGACAGTGCCCCATTGGGGACTCTATGTGAGGGCTCCAACCCCACATTACCCTTCCACACTGCCCTAGCAGAGGTTCCCATGAGGGCTTCACCCCCGCAGCAGACTTCTGCCTGGACATCAAGGCATTTCCATACATCCCCTGATATCTAGGCAGAGGTTCTCAACTCTCAGTTCTTAACTTCTGTGCACCCGCAGGCCCAATACCACATGTAAGCCACCAAGGCTTGGAGCTTGCACCCTCTGAAGCCATGGGCCCAGCTATAACTTGGCCCCTTTTAGCCATGGCTAGGATGCAGGGTGCCAAGTCCTGAGGCTGCCCAGATCAGCAGCAGTGCAGCCCTGGGCTTGGCCCATAAAACCATTTTTCCCTCCTAAGCCTCCAGGCCTCTGATGGGAGTGGCTGCTGTGAAGTCTCTGACATACACTGGAGATATTTTCCCCCTTGTCTTGGTGATTAACATTATGCTCCTCATTTCTTTTGTAAATATCTGCAGCAAGCTTGAATTTCTCCCCAGAAAATGGGTTTTTCTTTTCTATTGCATTATCAGGCTGCAAAATTTCCAAACTTTTATGTACTGCTTCCTCTTGAACACTTTGCCACTTCGAAATTTCTTCCACCATATATGCTACATCATCTCTCTTAAGTTCAAAGTTTCACAGATGAAGGGCAGTGGCAAAATGCCACCAGTCTCTTTGCCAAAGCACAGCAAAAGTGACCTTTACTCCAGTTCCCAACAAGTTCCTCATCTCTATCTAAGACCACCGCAGGCTGGACTTCATTGTCCATATAACTATCAGCATTTTGGTCAAAGCCATTCAAGTCTCTAGGAAGTTCCAAACTTTCCCACATATTTCTGTCTTCTTCTGCATCCTCTAAACTGTTGCAACCTCTGCCTGTTACCCAGTTCCAAAGCTACTTTCACATTCTCATTTATCTTATAGCAATGCCCCACTACCTCAGTACCAAATTACTGTATTAGTTCATTCTCACACTGCTATAAAGAAATACACAAGACTGGGTAACTTATAAAGGAAAGAGGTTTAATTGACTTATAGTTCCACATTCCTGGGGAGGCCTCAGGAAACTTATAATCATGGTGTAAGACAAAGGGGAAGCAGGCACCTTCTTCACAGGGTGGCAGGACAGAGTGGGTACAAGCAGGGGAAATGACAGACACTTATAAATCCATCAAATTTCATGAGACTCACTCACTATCATGAGAAAAGTGTGGGAGAACTACCCCTGTGATCTGATTACCTCCACCTGGTCCTGCTCTTGACATGTGGGGATTACAATTCAAGATGAGATTTTTGGTGAGGACACAGCCAAACCGTATCAGTAAGGGTTCTAATGTGGGAACAGAAAGAAGACCAGTGCAATAAGGAAAGAATGATATGTGTTTGTATCAATGAGGAAATCAATGAACTAACCATGTAAGCACAATGTAGCAAGTAGTTCAGTTTTAACGTCACTATGATTAGAAACCATTGAAGCTGTTTACAAAGAGAAGTGACATGTTTTGGTTTATGTTTTTAAAACCACAAACTAACTGATATAAAGATAATTGTTTGTAAGAAGGCAAAAGGAGAAGCAGAGTATTAATGAAAACATCCCTGTGAGAGTAGTGGTTTGGCCATGCATGGTGTGATAGATTGCAAAAAAGGTCACAAATGCCTCTCATCCCTGTATATACCCAAATAAGGCAAATGCCTAGCTGTGGCCAACAGGACAATTTGTTTACTTCTGTGTTCATCCCATAAAAGCCCCACTGCTCACACTGCTGAAGTAGAGCTCACTGAACATTTTCCACTTTTGAGTGCTGCTCAAATAAACTCTGTTAAATTTCTTTAATCTGAAGTTTCTATTTTAACAGTTTCTAGATATCAATATGTTTTTCTAGAAATCGATAAATGGAAAGAATCAAGTGTTTTCACAGTAAATCCTATATGTACAGGTAAGAAACCGAATAGTTGATGAGAGAAATTTCTTTGTAATGGAAACTAACACATGTAGGAGAAATGATAGAATGCAAAAATAGGCATTTTAGACTCCTAGTAAAATAATGGATCTAGGCAATGACCATCAATGGCTGCTTATACCATTGTGTAACAGATTGAGAATGACTTTGTAAAGGCTGACACCTCCTGTTACACTTTTGTAGTATTAATATTACAAGAAATGAAGAAACCAGAAATTATGTTTGGTGATGCAATACTCAGAAACAGCACTAACTATAAACTATTCTTGATATAAGTATTAAACCTGAATCCAATCATGCATCTATATTTAATGACCAATTATAGAAACATTCTAATGATATTGTGAGGATACAGAATCAAAGCAGGAAATAATGACCCAGATTTTTCAGTAACAGAATTATAAAGGAGGAGGAAATGATATATATTAAAAGGGACATAGGAATCAGGAATTAAATGTGTTGTGTAGATGTGGTCTGGGTCCTGATTTGAACACATCAACTACAATAAGACATTTTTGAGACAGAAAAAAATTGAGCATAGATTGTGTATTAAGTGATATGAAGGAACTGATATTAATTACATTGGTATAATGATGCTATTGTGATTATGCTTTCTTTTTTAATCCTTATTTGTTAGATATATTCATTTGCCTATTTAGTAGTAAAATTATTTGCTTTAGAATACTCTAGGACAAAAAGCAGTGATATTCTTGTGTGCTTCTTATGTCATATGCTGGGTGGAATTTGGCAAAGGGATTCTCTAGGGGCAATGTGGTACAAGGGGGATAATGTCAGGCTTTGACTACACAATGACTTGAAATAAGATCACTTATATTTCAGAGAAACACCCAGACTGTGTTTTCTTCTTTTCATAGGAAACTTATACTGGGTTCTCAATATTTCTGTGCACATTCAATATTTCCAACAATTATAGTTACTATCTGAAAACTTTAAGGGATTTAAAGACACAAGATGACAAGAAACAAGTCCATCAACACTGCAGGATATTCACACTCAGTGTGACAACAGCTCACAGGTGAGTAGAGCATCTTACTCTTACTGTTACTATGCCAGTTCCTTGACTGCCCTTCAGCACTGTAGACTGTGCTTTATTGCCCTGATTATGCACTCTTATACATTCACAAGTCAAAGGTTCTTGCATATTTCAATACAAATGAGAGTTATTTTTGGTGCCATCTTCAAAGCTTCGCTGTCTGACATTGCTGTCATAACAGGCATATTCAATTAATTTACATAGAGCAAAAATGGGCAAGCCTACCCATGGAGTTTGAGACATACAGTTTAAGTGCCATAGTAACATTTACTGCACCTATTTTGGTAGGTATTCCCAACGATAGAGCTACTTATATATTTTCTTGATTCCCTTTTCACCAAAATATTGAAGGTAAATAAGCCTGTGACATGGTTGGAGCTCAACAAATTCTTTTGGAATAATCTGTAGGCTATTTCCTTCTAATATCATGATACATTGGATCAAAAAATTCCTTTGGAATAGTCTGTAGGTTATTTATTTTAAAAATCATGATACATTGGAACTTAATGTCCTATGGCACAACATAATTTTGCAAGCACTTTGCATAGAGGAAGTGTTAAGTCTTTGGTTTAGTTATACCAAGATTCTGGTTTTGTGGGTCAAATGGTCAAATTACTACTATCTTAGTTCATTTTGGCTCCTATACCAAAATACCATAGCCTGGATGGATTATTAACAATAGAAATTTATTGCCCAAAGTTATGAAGAAAGGTCCTGGCAGATTGGCTGTCTTGTGAGGGCTAACTTCCTGTTTTATAGACAGCACTTTTTCTCTGTGTCCTCACTTAGTTTAAGGGGTGAGAAGTCTCTCTCTGGTGTCTTTTTTTTTTTTAGATGGAGTTTCCCTCTTGTTGCCCAGGCTGGAGCACAGTGACGTGATCTTGACTCACTGCAACTTCCACCTCCCGGGTTCAAGCAATTCTCCTGGCTCAGCCTCCCGAGTAGCTGGGATTACAGGCACCTGCCACCACGCCTGGTTAATTTTTTGTATTTTTAGTAGAGACAGACTTTCATCATGTTGACCAGGCTGGTTTTGAACTCCTGGCCTCAAGCAATCCACCTGTCTTGGCCTCCCAAAGTGCTAGGATTGATTACATGTGTGAGCCACCACGCCTGGCCTCTGGTGTCTTTTATAAGGGTGATTATCCCATTAATTTGGGTTCCACTCCCATGACCTAATTATGTCCTAAAGTCTCCACCTCCTAACATCATTACTGTAGAGGTCAGGGTTCCAACATATGAATTTTGGGGAGACACAAATATTTTTATATGGTATTTAAATCTATAGCTGTGTATTGGAGAGACTTATTTTTCGGTTGTTTTATATTTTTTTTGGAGAGAAGCCTAAATTACTGTTGTATACATGAATCCTTTAGTAATAATTCTTTTTTTAAAACTTTAATTATACCCCATCTTCTTGCAATAAGATTATTTAAAAGAACTTTCAATAAAAAGATAAAAAGGCTATGTGTGGTTTGGGCAAGATCCTAGCAAATGTTGGAAAGGCAGGATAAGGAATAAGAACAGATTTCAATTCGAAGAGTATCCAGCTGTGAGTCAGAAAACACTATAGTATACACTGAGGGCCTGACAAGTGGGTGAATGGAGTTAGGAGTCAAAGTGGGAATTTTGGAGGTCAGGACCCTGTCCATTCATTCATAATCTTTGAAAAGCCATACCCAGGGTCTGGCTTAGACATTTCTGTACTAGTGCCAAACAACCAAAATACAAAAGAGGGAATAGGAAAGACAGGACATAGATAGTAAGTATGCCCAAGCTCACATCTAAGTTACTTGGCTGTCTCACCAAAGATAAACAATGAATTGTATAGCTCTAACCATCTGATATAAAATTATGCAGGATCTGAGAAGAGACAAGCTTTGTCCTAGTTTTGTACCATGAGAATAAATTTTGCCAGATTTTTAGAGTTCATTTTAATACCTTTGGAAAAAATGGGCATGGAGAATGTAAATATTATGAAGGAGATAATGGGGAAAACTGTGCTTATTTAAGTTTCTGACATTTTACTAGGAATAAATATATCTCAAGAAAGCAGATGCTCATTCTATTTATACATCATCATAATTACTAAATATCCATTTATTCAATAAATTTCAGTTGAGCATCTGTGTCTCATGCCCTGTAAGTGGGCCATGAGCATGTTCCTACATTCTTGGATGGTTACATGATGTGATTACAAAGGAGATCAAAGGAACCTACTTTAAATATGACACAATACAGGACCTCTCTGAGGAGATGAGGTTTTGGATAAGACCTGAAAGATGAGAAAGTGCAGGGTATGCTGAGTACTGAGAAAAGAATTATAGGCAGAAGAAACAAGGAAAGGTTGCCATCTTCAAAAAACAAACAAACAAACAAGCAAAAAACAGCAAATAGCTCATGTTGCTCAATTTATTAAGTCAGATAGTGTCCTGAGATGAGGTTGGAGAGCAAGCAGGTGCCAAATATATATGGCATTATATGTCAAGTATGGCTTTTTAATTTTATTCTAATTATAATTTCATCTATCTACCTACATACATATCTACTGGCTGCTGTGTGGAAAATGGATTGGAAAAAGGGTAAAAGAAGAAACATCAAATGTTAAACTTAGCATTTATATATTATGCATAAGGAAGAAATTTATGAAAATGTATCATTTGGTTTACAGATGTGTTTTTCATATTGTAACTCAATGAAGTATTCCTGAATACAGATCACAACTGAGTCATGATTGCTTGCAGCTAAATATGCAAACCATCAAATTATCCAAATGTGTTTATGTCTTCTCTAAACTCTCAACTTGCATTTACCTAACCTCAGGCCAGTAATCCAGCTGATGAGTTGGTCATAATTCAAGCTGACACAATCAATCCAAATTAGTCATGATCTCTGTCATGAAGAAATGTGGAATAAGGGCAGTGGGGCATAACTGATGTTCTCTCCACTGAGGATGAATTATTGTAAATGTCTATAAATAATAACACAATATTTTAGATTTCTTTAGTCCTGTATTTATGTGAGTTATTTTACTTTATTATGTGGGTCAAATTTAAATCCAAACAAACTGTCAAAAACTGTTTAATATTTTATGCTGAAGGTAGGGCTAATAATTCATTTTCTAAGTTTGATTGATTAGAAAAGGGAGAAAATATTTGCAGAATAAAATCAATTAAAATAATTAAGGCTCAGTAACATTTTCCTAAGGAGACTGGATTTCAAGGAATAAGTGAACATAATAATACCTAAACTGTAATGTAAAGAGAAAGTAGGATCCAAATCCATCCCAGATCTAAATCTTGAGTGACTAGTAATCAAATTCAGTGATGTCAACAACCAACGCATGACACGATTTCATTCATTTGTATGAGTAACACAACAGTCAGTACTTCCAAGTTCTTTTTCTTCAATGTGTATATTTTGAATTCTTAAACAGAGACGTTTAAAAGAATTAAGAGCAAGTATGGGCAAATAGGTTCTTCCTTTATGACATTCAGTTCTATAAAAGGACAGAAGACAAGTAAATGCACATTTGAAGGACTTTAGAAACTATTTTATCTACTGCTTGGACAAGCTAATGAATTCTCTAGAGCAAGAGTATGGCAGGTTAATTTATTTCCCATTGACCCAGCAACTAATGTATATAATATTATGGAAACCTTTGTTTATTGCCATGGCAGTGCTAAGTAGGAGGAATTATCCTGAGGTTTGAATGTTCAGTACTTTTTCGACATTCTCTGAAATATTTGACATGTATTTCTGCAGAGGTCTTCTCTCTTGTTACGAGAAACTTATTTTGTTTAATTAAAAACTAAGAAAACATAGACACAACAGCAAATTAGCAAGTATGAATGGTAATTTATAATCCACGGTTAAATTTCATCATGATAGTAGTATAGAAAACAATGCCTTTCTGAACACCACATTTTGCATATTAAAGAATAGTAGAATTAGCAGATAGTTCTCATAAACCACAATCAAATAATTAAAGAATTAGTCTAGGATATACAAATGGTTTCACCCTCAATGTCACCTTTTATGCTTTCTATTTTTTGTTTCAGTGCAAATTCATTAACCTACTCCTTTTGATGCCTGTCCTTCTGTGAAAAGATTCTTTATGCTGAGTGTTCTTCACTTATCACAATATGTGAAGGAAGAGACCACAACTTTCTTCAATCTTTTCAGTTTTCTTCTACCTATTTCTTAGTTTCCCTAAATATCTAAGCATTCTCTGTTCTAAATAATCATGTTCAAGTGCTTTCATTTTCTTGAACATGTCTTTCTATCACATCTGTGTTATCATTTATATTTTTTTCTTCCCTACCTTGTCCATATGGTAAGTATGAACTCATGTAGGAAATCAGTCAAGGTGGTGGGAGAAATTATAGGAGAAACACAAACCGTCTTGGAAAGCCAAGGTTTTGGAAAAGCTTCGAAAGATAATTTGGCTGAAGGCAGCCAAATTCTCTTATCCGGAGCCTGAGAGCAAAAGGTAGATAACAAGGAAGTGTAAAGGAATTGATCTAGATAAGTTAGTTTACTTAGGCCTCGGGACCTGGCCTTTAATCATCTGCGTGCAGGACTGCTCTCTCTGGGGCGGGACGGGGCGGGGCCGGGGGTAGGCGGTGTGGGGGGTGAGTGGGCAGCGACCATGTTAATTACCACAAGAAGTGTGGACTCAAAGCCTTTGTCATTAAATCTGTACTAAATAAATGCCTGCAGTGCCAACTTGTCCTGGCTGTGGCTGCTGTGACTCTTTATGGCACCCTCCTCCGTGTCTGTGAGCAGCCCAGTCCCCTTGCCATGCAGCCAGGCAAAAAGCCTCTGTCTGCATACTTTTTTTAATCCGTCACTTGCCCGGGGTCTGCCAGTCAGACCCAGCAAACTCACCTGTCATTGCTTGTGTTCCACAAGCCCTTTCTCATGAGAATGCCTAACTACTGGAAAAGAAATATTACTTATCAAGAATCTCTGCTTCATCCTGGACACAGATGACTGGATCAGAGTAAATAACTGGTTCAGCTATGGCTCCTCAGATTCTCTTTCCCAGGAATTTGGATTTGGGATACTGAGGGGCTATACAAAACACTTTCAGGAAGTGCAAAAGCAGATACTGTACTGAACGAGACAAACCAATGGTGGTGATGGGAATGAAAAAACCATACAACAGGGGGCATAAGTGACAGTAGCAAACCAAGGACACATGAACACAGAAATAATAGGAAAGCAGGAACTAAGAGTATTAGAGAAGAGAAATAAGTCTGGAAAGAAGCAGAATTGAGAGACCATGGTTTCCTATGGGAAAGAGTCACAGAGAGAATAAACCCACAAATGTGCCATTTTCAAGAGCCCAAGCTGTTTTATTCCTGCAAAGAGAGAGATTTCCTTCCAATCTTTTTACTGGATTTTATTTTTCAGTTTGAGCTAATTGAAGGAGTTTTCTTTGACAGCCCTCTCTCTCCCAGAATGCCTACCTTTTCCTACCCTTCCCCAGTAGAAGGGCCCCTCTGTGTTCAGATGCCTCATTGCTATGATTTCCATTGTTATAGTTCCTTTCTCATTTGGTCTTGAGGTCTCTCTGTCAAGGTTGGGCATAAGCCAAGATAGACACTCTCTAGGAGAGCCCGTACTGAGGGAAAGTTATGTTCCAGTGTGTCCTTCAGGTGAAACACTGAAGGACAGTAAAACCAAATGTATGAAAATACATTGAGAAGGGAAAGATTTTCCTCTAGCACCCCCAGAAAGAAATACAGCCCTACCTACACCTTGATTTTTGCCCAGTGAGACCCATTTTGGTATAGCAGGTAAAACCAAAATGTATGAAACGGAAGAAACATATTACTTAACAGATCCCAGAGAGGCTAGGGGAGCTGGCAGGAGGCTGACAGGAAGATGAGGTGACAAGAAGCTCAACCAGTGGATGGGAAGTGAAAGGGAGTGAAACTTGTGGGACTATGCCTTTATTAAGGCATGGTGTTACCCTTTAGGTTTTTCCTTGAGATTGTGGATTGGCTAGTTTAAGAAAACACAAGCAAGAGGGGGAACATATTTACATGACTCTGGTGTTGACCATTAGATTTTATCATGGTAGCAGCTGTGGGGTGTGTTGGGTTTTTTTAGTTAGTGAGATAAGGAATAGGTGGGCTATATCTCAAACAACCACAGTGGGAAAAATTTTAACTAGGCCAAAAGTGATAGGGTAGGACTGGGTTTCAAACAACTCATGTCAGGTCTAAAAGTGGATGCTGAGGCAGCAACTTCATTAAAGAAATTTATGACACTCATATATCCTATATGTGCTTTTTTTTTTTTTACAACCTCCATTAACCTTTGCTCAATGTACTTTTTTATGTCTGTCTCCATCATGTTGGATACTTAATAAATATTTGTAGAATAAGTGAAAGAGTGAATGAAACAGTGAACAAAATTATTTTAAAATCTCTACTGTATTGTCCCTTAAAGCTAGACTCAGAGATTGGAAAGTTCACATGCAGCCTTCCACTCCAACTTTCTAATTTAAAGATAAGAAAACTCAGCCTTGAGAAATTAGGTGACTGTCCAAGGCCACACAGTTGGTTAGTGGCAAGGTCAGACCTGAAACATAAGTCACTGGTGGTACAATCCAGTGTTCTTTCCAGGAAGCAAACAGAATTTTTCTTTATTTTATATCTTTATTTGTAACCTCACCCCTGATTAAACAAACAATACATGAATTCAATAGTTTTGGAAAGCTGCTTAGAAATATTCATTAAAAGAAAGCATCTGAAACTCTATGGCCCAGAAATTTTGCTCTTAGGTATATACCCAGCAGAAATGTGCCCATATGTTTAACAAGAATGTTCAGAGCAGCCCTAATAATAGTAGCCTCCAAATAGAGACAACTTGAATGTCCATCAACACTGGAGTAGATGAATACACTAGGGTACATTCACAAAATGGAATACTAAATAAATCAATGGGAATGAAAAAAAACTATAACTACATGCAACAATGTAGATGAATCTTACACAAAGTAATATGAAGGCAAATAAACCAGACACAAAATAATATGTACTTTATGATTCCAATTTTTAAAAGTTCAAAACCAGGCAAAATGTATTTATGGCTTTTTTGGACTAGTATGTAGGTTTTGAGTGGTGTTCACTTGAAAGTTAAGAAAAGAAGCCAGAAATCAAGACTAAGAAATATTTAGAACATAGGATGAGTATTAATATTGTTGCATATTTCCAATCATATTTTATGCATGTACACACTATCTGCACTTTTGTAATCCCCAAAGTTCAAAACCCAAGTTTTTTTTATAGCTCATTTGGCAACAAAATTCTGACCTGAACTGAACTCATTTGGTGACAAAGCCTGACCTCAACTGACATGAGGCTATTTATAGTCTTTATTTTTTCACTTGGGGTGAATATTCATACATTTCCTGCAGAAAGATTAATGTGCTTGAATATAGGATGCTGTTGCAGACACTGCTGAGAGTGTTATCTTTAAATCCTAAAAATTCTGAACTTCAAAATACATCTGGTCCTAAGGATTCAATATATGACTTTAGGTATTGTGGTAGGCAAAGTAAAGACTCCCCAAAGATGTTCATATCCTAAACTCTGGAACCTGTGAATATGTTAAGTTACATGGCAAGGTGGAATTAAGGTTGCAGATGAATTAAGGTTGCCAATTAGCTGATGCTGAGATGAAAGATAATCCTGAATTAACTTGGTGGGCCCAATGTAATCACAAGGGTTCTTATGAGTGAAGATGGAGACAGAAAAGAGAGAACCAGAGACAGCAGTGTGAGAAGACTCGGCCCAACACGGCTGACTTTGAAGATGAAGAAAGAGGGTCATAAGCCAAAGAATGTAAGTAGCCTCTGAAAGCTTAAAAAGGTCAAGAAAAAGATTTTTCTCTAGCACCCCCAGAAAGAAATACAGCCCTACCTACACCTTTATTTTTGCCCAGTGAGACCCATTTTGGTAGTAATTTGGTAGTTTGTTATGGCAACAATAAGAAACTAATACATCTATATTTATATTATATATACATATATACACATGTATGTACCATGAAATTTATACACATATGTATGTGTGTATATATGTGTGTATGCATTTAGATATATAGTGTGTATATATGCTTATACACATTTTTACACAATATCTGAATCAAACAGTGAATGGCACAGAATAGAAAATAAGAATCTTGAGGCCGGGCATAGTGGCTCATGCCTGTAATCCCAGCATTTTGGGAAGCCAAGGTGGGCGAATCATGAGGTCAGGAGTTCAAGACCATCCTGGCTAGAAACCCCACCTCTACTAAAAATACAAAAAAATAGCTGGGTGTGGTGGCACGCGCCTGTAGTCCTAGCTACTTGGGAGGCTGAGTCAGGAGAATCGCTTGAACCTGGGAGGCAGAGGTTGCAGCGAACCGAGATGATGCCACTGCACTCCAGCCTGGGTGACAGCAAGACTCCATCTCAACAAAAAAAAATAAAAAAGAATTTTGAATAGATGAATGAATGAATGAATGAATTGAATGAATTGAGAGTGGAAAGGAGTCAACTCTTGGGCTGTGTAACAGGCAACTATTGTTACATAACAAACTCAAAACTTCAGTGGCAAACAACATTCTTTCTAGATCACAAGTTTGCAGGTCATCTCAGGCAGCTTAGTTCCATATTTCATATCAGCTGGATGGCTTTGCTCCACGTGTCCTCAGCGTCCTCTCGCAGTGATGGCAGAGGCACAAGGGGGCATGCCTAAATACCCATGCACATAACCTGCATCAAGTCTGCTAAAGCACTGACAAAAGTAGGTTACATGGCCAAGTCCAAACTCAAGGAGCAGCAGAGTATACTCATTTTTTTTTTATGGAAGGAATTGTAAAGTTACATGAAAATGAAAATGAATACAGGAAGAGGTGAAGAACTGTGACCAAAAATTAATTTACGATATTTATCTTGCCTTCTATCAAAAAGCAACACTGAAGCCAAATATGGGCTTTGGGCTAGGCCAAACTGAATAAGACCTTCAAGGACCCAAGAAGGAAACTATAAACTGTCATGCAAGAAAGAATATAGGAATGAGATGCAATTGCCAAGGAAAAATAGTTTCATTTGATTATCTGGTTAGTAAGGAATTAACTAGGAGTGACGATATGTTTTTTTTTGTTGTTGTTGTTTGTTTTGTTTTATTTTTTAAGACAAGAGTCTCCCTCTGTCGCCCAGGCTGGAGTACAGTGGCGTGATCTTGGCTTACTGCAACCTCTGCCTCCCGGGTTCAAGTTATTCTCCTGCCTCAGCCTCCTGAGTAGCTGGGACTACAGGCACATGCCACCGCGCCCGGCTAATTTGTGTGTGTGTGTGTGTGTGTGTGTGTGTGTGTGTGTCTGTGTGTCTGTGTATTTTTAGTATAGACGGGGTTTCACTGTGTTAGCCAGGATATGTTTTAAAACAATAATTTATAAATTTCAAGAAAAGTATTCTTAAGGTAGACAACTATTAAATGTCTAAAAAACAAAATATACACTCAAACTATCAGAAGAATGAACAGATTTATGTCATTATTTCTTTTTAAAAGTTTTATTTTGTTTTTAATTGACACATAATAGTTGTACATACTTATGGGATATATTGTGATGTTTGGATACATATATACATTGTGTAATGATCAAATCAGAGTAATTAGCATATCCATTACCTCAAACACTTGTCATTTTTTGTGGTCAGAATTTTCAAAATCCTCCTTTTCAGGTATTTTAAAATATTTTATACAATACATTGTTGTGGACTATAGTATCCTGCTGTGCAATGGAACACCAGAATTTCTTTCTCCTAACTATACCTTTGCACCCTCCTCCCTACTCTTCTACTCTCTGGTAACCACTATTCTACTTTCTACTTCTATGATATCAATAATTGATATTCCACATATAAGTGAGTCAATGTGGTATTTGTCCTTCTGTCCTTGGCTTATTTTCTTAACATAATGTCATCTAGGTTAATCCATATTGTTACAATGACAGGATTTCATTTTTTTATAACTGAAGAGTATTCTATTATGTATATATACCACATTTTAAAATCTATCCATTCATTTGTTGGTGGCCACTCAGGTTGATTTTCTATCTTAGCTATGTGAATAGTGCTGCAATAAACATGGGAGTGAAGATACATCTTTGACATACTGATTTCATTTCCCTTGGAAATATACTCAGTAATCATCTATATATCAACAGCAAACTATCCGAAAAACAAATAAAGAAAGCAATCGTATTTACAGTCACTACAAAAAAAAACAAAAAACCACGAATAAATTTAGCCAAGGAGGTGAAAGATCTCTATAATGAAAACTACAAAACACTGATGAAAGAAACTGAAGAGGACACTAATACATAAAAAGAGATCCCATGTTTATGGATTAAAAAATTAATATGTTGCTAAGATATCCATACTACCCAAAGTAATCTACAGATTCAATGCAATCTATATCGAAATACCAGTGAGATATTTCATAGAAATAGAGAAAACAATCCTGAAATTTGTATGTAACCACAAAAGACCCTGAATAGCCAAAGCAAGATTAAGAAAAAAGAACAAAGCTGGAGGCATCACACTACCTGATTTTAAAATATACTACAAAGCAATATTAACCAAAATAGTATGGTACTGGCATAAAAACAGATACATAGACCAATGGAACAGAATACAGAACTCCAAAATAAATTCATGTATTTATAGCTAATTGATTTTCTACAAAATTGCCAAGAATGCACATTGGAGAAAGGACAATCTCTTTAACATGTGGTACTGAGAAAACTGGCTATCCATTTCCAGAAGAATGAAACTAGATCCCTATCTCTTATCACTTATAAAAAAGTAAACTCAAAATAGATTGAAAACTTAAGTGTAATACCTGAAAATTCTAAACTAGCAGAAACAAATGTAGGTGAAAACTTTATGACATTGGTCTGGGCAAGGATTTTTTTTAATAAGACCTCAAAAGCACAGGCAACAAAAGCAAACATAGACAAATGAAATCACATCAAACTCAAAAACTTTTGCACAGCAAAGGAAACAAACAGCAGCGTGAAGAAATAACCTACCGAATGGGAGAAATATTCACAAACTCTGCATCTGACAAGAGGTTGATATCCAGATTATATAAGGAAATCAAACAACTAAATAGCACAGAAACCTGATAATTCAATTTAAAAATGGGCAAAAGATATGAATACACATTTCTCAAAAGAAGACATACAAATGGCCAACAGGTATATGGAAAAAATGTTCGACATCACTAATCATCAGGAAAATGCAAATCAAAACCACAATGAGATATTGCCTCACCCGTTAGAATGGCTACTGTAAAAAAAAAAATGCTGGTGAGGATGTGGAGAAAGGGGAATTATTATACTTTGTTGGTAGGGATGTAAATTGGTATAGCCATTCTGGAAAAAAGTACAGAGATTCCTCAAAAAAGAAAAAAGTAGAACCATCATATAATCCACTACTGGGCATAAATTCCACTAACGGTCATATATCCAAAGGAAATGAAACCAGTAGCTCAAAGAGATATCTGCTCTCCCATGATTGATTAATACAAGCCTGTTGAGGCTGATCTTGGTTTCAAAATTCCATAGGCTAAACTATTATATCTTTAGGAGGAGATATAAGAAGCCACATCAGTGCCCTTAACTGTCCCCTTATTATGCATGGACAAGATGAACAGCACCCCATAAAAGAAATTAGCAGATTTTCCCTTGCAATCCAAGAAGCATGTCTATGTTTTGCCTCTAGCCTCCTCTCTGAACATTCTTGCGTGGATTTTTGTTTTTTTCTCATTACCCTGTACCCTCCTCATAGTCACTTTGTATTCAGGCCCAGTACGCAATTTTCTTTATTCCCTTGAAAGCCCTTTCTCAGGACATCCTTAGATTCACCTGCTGCAGACCGTACATCCATACCCAGGCATTCCAGCCCCAGCCTAGCTCCCTAGAACTCCAGTAATAGTCCAACATTTCAGGTGCCAGGTCATCAACAAAAAGAGAAACATGGACGTGAATAAGGTAGACTATTAAAATCAAATAAACATTTTATTAATGGATTTGCACTTTCTTATAATTCTGTGTCAAATCCCAATAATGAGAATATGGCACATACACCATAGTCAGTGTTGTGATTATTTACACATGTTGGTCCCATTGGGGCCTTTTCAGATGGGTCCTTCATTGTCCTCATGTGACAGATTCTGAAAACACAGTATGATTTTGACTAATGGAATCAAAAATGATCAACTGTTGAGAAAATTTCATTAAGATTATTTCACAAGATTATCAGTCTCTCATCATAAACAGGCTTCATGGGAACCCATAATGTAACCACTATTTGGGGAGTATTGTACCAAAACAAAGGAATTGAGGTGTCTTGAAACAGTATTTTCCACCATAAAATAACCCAGCCAATGCAATTGTGAAACTTGAAACCAGGACCCACGTTTCCTTCACTGAAAAGTGACTGCTTTAGCTGCTGACCACATTTTGTATCTGTTCTTCCTTTTGTAGGTACCGTGTGATCTGCTGATCCTGTGTCAGCTCTGCTCTTTGGATATGTCAATGTTGCTATATACGCCAAAGTGAGACTTTGAATATGTACCTTCATTGGAATTTGGGTATGCAGCACAGTTCTTTATGATACATGTTCCTGGGATCTCATAGGTAAGGTGGTTTGGAATGGTTCACTTCATCTGTTATGTGTTAAGATTATTGTATTAGAAGTGTGGGTTCTGAGGAACTTCACTGATTCCTTCAACAAATATTTATTGAGTGCTCACTATGCAGGAGGCACTGTTCTGAGTATTAATGAAATAGTAGTTTTTTTTAAAAAAAAAGTCTGTGCCCCCATGGAGCTTATATTATGATGAGCGAGACTGCTTTTAGTTAAGCAAACTACTATAATATACTATTATGCTATGATACAAGCAACAAAAAAATGCAGGGAAAGGGATAGACAGAATTGGGACGAGGCAGAAAAAGACTATCCTAGATTGAGTTTTTGAGGAAGGCTCTCTGAGAAAGCGATTATGGACTTTAGACATGAAAAGAACGAGAAGTCATGCCTTTTAAATACCTGGGGAAGAAGTATTCCAGGCAATGAAAACTTGAGTTCAAAGGCACTGAGTTGGGAGTACAGTTGACATTTTCCCAAGTGGGTAGGGTTGCTAGAGGAGTGGATGAGAGGAAAATGATTGGAAATAAGGTATGGAAAGGAGGCAAGGGTCAGGTTGTAGAGGACTTTGAAGGCCATGGGGAGGACATTGGAGTTTTTTCTAAGTCTCAAGTGGGAGATTGACATGACCAGATTGAAATGTTACAGGGTTCACTAGTAACCCTTGTAGTATGAATGGTAGTGTGAGGACTACAAAAGAGAAAGTAGGGAGATGGATCATTTGGGTATTTTAGTAGTTCAGGCAAAAGATGATGTTGGTGAGGGCGGTGGCAGTAGCAGTGAGGAAGTGAGATATGGACAGGATGAGATAGAAAAGACATAGTGATGACTCCAAGGTTTTGGTTCTAAATAATTGAAAGGCGACCATTTTCTGAGATGGGAAACACTGGGAGAGGAGTTTGGGGGCAGAGTTTTGCATATATTAACTTCAAGATATTTATTGAATAGCCAAATAGAGATCTCATAGAGAGGGCTGGGCAACTGAGTCTGAAGTTCAAGGAATTGTTTGTATTATAAATACACACTGGGGAGTCATTTCTGAACCCTAGGTAATCTTAAAACCATGGTACTTGGTGAGTTTACCTATAGGATTGAGTCTAGCCAGGGTAGGGTTGGATCCTGGAGGCTGGATCCCTGGGGCATTCCAACAAGTGCAGAAACAGGGCCTACAAGTGCCTTGTGAGAAAGGAGGAAGCCCCGAGTCTCCACCATGAGTCTTCACACCATATGCCCTGAATATTTCTGCTAATCCAATATCTGAAAGGCTCCTTGATCATGGTTTCTCTAAATATCACTACATTAAGAACCAATATTTATATCAGTAGGTACTAATACAATATTAGTAATAAATTGAGATATCAACTTGCTTATCTCACTCTTCCGAAGAATAACTAAAAACCGCATAGTACGTCTGACTTTTCCTTACAGACTCTCCCACCACTGGCCCCCAAATTCCATTTCTGGAATTTCCAATGGACTTATCAGATTTTATTTAAAGAAATGTTAATAGAAGCAAACTTGTCAAATATGACAAAAGCTGAAAAATTGTTTAAAGGTTAAATAAATACTAAAATCTGAGGCTAATTATTTCTAAAATGTAAAATTTTGTCACATCCCCTCGAAGAGATTAAAAAATAATTTTAATTCAGTCCATTAGAGTAAACTGATTTTTTAAATAGAAGGAAGTTTCTGAGAAAGGAATTAATTAGTCATAAGGGCCATTAGATCTCCTAAAATGAACAGAGGGTTCCACTGGAAATTATATAAATATTCATAAAAATATCACTTTTACTGATAAGATGTCATTTGCTTTATTAAAATCATCTCATTTGAAGAAAGTATCCCCAGAGAATTATGAGAATACAGGTTAGTAGGAATATTAACTATGACAAAATTTTAAACACCTTAATTCTCCCTTTTAATTCTCCTTATTTTGGGGGGTGGGGGCAAGTAAGTTTAACAAGTTAATTTAAAACTTGAAAATTATTGTTATGTGTCTTCCCTGTCCCCACTTTATTAAGATATAATTGATGAATAAAAATTGCATATATTTATGGTGTACAACATGATGTTTTGATATGTGCATACATTGTAAAATGATTAAATCAAGTTAATTAACATATCTATTGCTTTATATACTTAATTTTTGGTGGTGATAACCTTTAAGATCTACTCTCAGCTATTTTCAATTATAAATTACATTATTATTAGCTGTAGGTACCGTCCTATACAATACATCTCTAGAACTTATTCATCCTATATAACTAAACCATTGTACCCTTTGATCAACATCTCCTCATCTCCCCTGCCCATCAACCCCCCAGCCCCTGGTAACGACCATTTTACTCTCTGCTTCTATAAGTTTGACTTTTAGATTCCACATATAAGTGAAATCATGCACTATTTGACCTTCTGTACCTGGCTTATTTCACTTAGTGTAATGTCCTCCAGGTTCATCCGTGTTGTTACAAATAACAGAATTTCCTTTTTTAAGGCTGAATAATATTCCATTGTACGTATGTACTATAATTTGTTTATTCATTCATCTATGGGTGGACATTTAGGTTGTTTCCATAGCTTGACTATTGTGAATAGTGCTGCAGTGAACATGGAAATGCAGATACCTCTTCAAGATCCTGAATTCAATTCCTTTGGATATATACCCAGAAATAGAATTGGTGGAACTACTGGATCATATGGTAGTTCTATTTTAAATAGTTTGAGGAACCTCCACATTGTTTTCCATAATGGCTGTACCAAATTGCATTCCCGCCAGCAGTGTGCGAGAGTTCCCTTTTCTCCACATCTTCATGAATACTTATCTTTTGTCTTTTAGACAAAATTACTCTACCCAGGTATGAGGTGCTATCTCATTGTGATTATAATTTGCATTTCCCTGATGATAAATGACTTTGAGCATTTTCTCATATACCTATTGGGCATTTGTGTGTCTTCTTTTGAGAAGTGTTTATTCTGGTCCTTTGCCCATATTTTTAATTAGGTTATTATTCTTATTATTGCTATAGTGTTGTTTGAGTTTCATATATATTTTGAATATTAACCCCTTATTACATGTATGATTTGCAAATGTTTTCTCCCACTCCATAGATTGTCTCTTTACTCTGTTGATGGTTTCCTTGGCTGAACAGGAGCTTTTTAGTTTGATGCAGTCCATCAATTTTTGCTTTTGTTTCCTGCACTTTTGAGGTCGTATTAAAAAAATCATTGACCATACCCATGTTAAGAAGCATTTTACTTATGTTTTCCAATAGTAGTTTTACAGTTTCAGATCTTACACTTAAGTGTAATGTATCTTATGGTAGCTGTTGACATGCCAGTTTATTGGTAATGGCCAACTACTTCTCACTGATGGAAGAAGGCTATACTGTCTAGAAAATATCTGCTGCACATACGATGGCAAATTAGAATACACGATTTCTACTCCCAAGTCATTCAGAGAGTTGTAAAAGAAAGCAAAGCAAAATAAAATATTATAAAATTAGGTTTGGTCCACTCACTCTGGATGATCTTAGATGGATGTTTGGGTTTTTTTTTATCATGTAACCTCAAATTGCATTGCTGGATTCCAGGTATAGCAATTTTTTATAGTATAGGTAGACAGGTAATACTTTTGGATGGTTTAAAAGTTATCTCAGCTATGTGAATATATACTTTTCCATTTTGAATCTATGTTTCTTTAGGAACCTAAAGCTTCCTTCTTTAGGAAACATAGATTCAAAATGGAAATAATATATATTCACATAGCTGAGATGGCTTTTTGGGTTCAACATATTCTAAAAATCAGCATTAAAGATGTGTCAAAGTTTTTAGAATTACATGAAGAAGAAAAAATACTCTTGAAATCTGTAACTCTTGCTCTAATTTCTGTTATCCCAGATTGAACTCTCTGCCACTATATTATTCCTATTTTTGGCAAGAGAATGTGAGACATTAGAATATCATTAAAATTAATCTGCTTTGTTTAAAAAGTGCATTACTGTAGAGGACCTAAAATCTGGTTTGCACATGTATCTCCAAAGCAGGAATACCTATCCTTCAGATATTGCCGATTTTCACCAGTCTCAAATTGTGCTAAGCGTTTAAGTCATATCCAATTCATTTCTCAGCTTATATATTTTGAAATTTTATATTAGTTCCTGTTTCTATTTCCAGTGACATCTTCTAAGCTCTTTTTATCAATAATAATGACAATAATAACGATGTTTATTTATTGAGCAGTTACTCTCTGCCAAACACTGTTGTAATGATATTATATTAGCTCACCTAATTCTCAAAACAACACTGTGAAGTAAGATACAGTTAGCATCCCCATTTTGCAGATAAGAAAACTGAGGAAATGTGATGTTAACTGGCTTGCTTAAGGTCATTCAGCTGGGAAGTGGCAGAGTTGGGATTTAAATTCATGTGATTTCAGAGCCCATCCTCTTAGCATGTTACATAGATCATTTCTTTACATCTTGGTCTTTAGCTTATTGGTAACTTTTAGAAAAAAAAGAGTATAGTACATAGAGTTAAAGAAAGAAATCTCTACTTCTTCCTAAATAACTAATTTTTAACTCTAGTGGTCCTTAAACATACAATTCCTTCAGTAACGAGGCTCTCCTGCAGTGATCAATGGTTGTGTTTCAAGGCCCTCCACAGCTAGTGATTTATTTGATTACTTACTGTTGAGTTGGGATAGCAAGGTGGTCTCAGTGAACAGCCCCTGGGTACTTGCACATAAGAAACATGTTTAATGTACAAGATGATAGAATTAAGGAGAGGGTGGGGACCAGATTAGAGGCAGCCTGGGTAAGCCAGATTTCTCTAAATCGGGGGGATATTTTTTATTCATCTCAATATCTGACTTAATTCAGGAATTTTTAATTTAAAATTCAATTAGGGAGTTTCTATTATAAATGAAGTGTTGTTTTATGTAATTATGAATTTCCCTGGATAGCCTAAGAGTAAAATAGTAGCAACAATTTCATTAAAATTGCTCACATCAAAACAGGGAACAAAACGTGTTTTTATGTGTCTTTTATCTTTCCCTTTTTCTTTCAAAACCGTTTTGATTATTCAGCCATGGTTATTTTAGAAATAGCTCTATGAAGAGCTTTTATACTACTAATTTTCTGCGGCCCATAATAGTGTTCATTGCTGGTCTTCAAAGAGCTTTTAACAAACGTTATTACATTAAAGAAAAGTGGTAGGCATCACCAACCATATCATACAGGCAATCATTCCTGAAAACCTAGACATAAAATGGTCTTGCCTGATATTACAAAGCAAATTAGTTTCAGGGTTAGACAGCTGATTTAATGTTATCTATGGCATAATCTGATAAGAGTTAAAACTCTAGTGAAATAAAAATAGTAATAACATCATGAAGATGTCTGTGATAGGGCATGGAATGTATATATATATATATATATATATATATATATATATATTGCATTTATAGAATTATTGGGTTGAAAGGGAACTTAGGGAACATTTTATCAATTTTTCTGGTAATTTTCAGGTAAGGATAGATTAAGTGATTCATCTAAAGCCATGCAGTTTGCTCACAATAGAGAAAGTTCTAAAATTTCATTTCATTTTTATTCTACAGTTATTGAGAGGGTAATATATACGCCAATTTTCTGATGTGTGACAAAAATTTAAGATAAATAATACACTAGAGCTGACAATATGGGAGGAAAAGTAGGTAAAATAATAATTGTGATATGGTATGATTGTTTCTGTGAGAATAGAGAGTCCACTCCCATTCCTACTCCTACCCTGTTGACCCTACCCCTTACTGCCTCTTCATATGCCATGTCAGAAAAGTAAATGTCTTGCTTTTAAAACAATCAATTTTGACTTGGAAATTACACTAATAATTATGCCACCAAACTAAATTCTAGAAAAGTAGAGTTTATAGTTGGCAAAATGCTTTGTCAAATTATGTCAAATACTATTCTTCTAAAAATATTATTCATTAAGTATATATGGATATACATATATTTATAATATATGTGTGTATGTATATAATCCATTAATTATAGATGGATGTTAAAGTTAAATTGTGAGATATTCTGTTTCTTTAATTCTAATTATTGAGTATTCATGTCTGAGTTTTGTATCCTAAGCAAATAATCATAAACATGACCCTATTTCCCCAGATGCTTACAGTTTGTTATCACTGTCATACAGATACACATCTCAGCCAAAAAAGGAAACACTGAATGGATTAGAAAGTCCAATAAATAACTTAAGTGATGCATTTAATTTTAGGGATTTGAGAATGCTGTGAATTTCTTAGCAGGAAAAGCTAAGCAGGGCAAATGGTGAAATGAAAATCATCACTCAAATGCACTTCCAGGATTCCTGGAGGAATTGTGGCAGCAGTGAGAACTGGCACAATTAAAACACTTTTAATTTAAGAAAAGAGTATAAGTCTGATCCAGTGCTTTAAATAGTATAAGCACCTAGTGTACATTACATTTCCCATAATAGTACAATACTGAAGATTTTTATATCTGCCTATTCCCATATTCCCATGGTACACACTAGTGATTTTAAAATTCACAACTAAATTCTTACTTCTAACAGTAAGACATTAGCTTAGAATTTCCTATAACCCCACATTGTATTACATTGTATTACAAAGTCGCTTCTTTTTGAGCATTTTATTACCATTTCTCAATATTGATCACCCTCTGCCCAATCTTAAACATAACGAGGATAGCACATCATTTTCCACACATGGTATGTTTATAAAATTAGTTTTGCCAGGAACATCTCTGCTATGAAAGGAATAGTTATCAAAGAGAGTGCTGCCACTGGTTTTCTGAACAGCCTTAGGCAGGTCACTGACCCTTGCCATGGTTAGAGTCTTTCTCTTTTTGGACACTTTTATTAGGTATGATAAAATATGAGGGCTTAACAAAAGTTATTCCTGAGAAAGCAGAAGGGTACACATGGGAGAAGTCTCCTAACATCAAGATGTTACTAAGCATCTAAGGGGTGTGACTGAATATAAATTACGAAGAAAATTAGTGGAGAATGTGAAGCCAGAGTGGTAAAAAGACATCAGTAAGCCATGCAAAATGGGATTCTCTGTGTGCTCTTATAATTCCTCTTTGTCAATATTGTATCAGTTTTAATATTTCTAGGTGGTGATATATACCTAAGTTACTTTTCTGCCAACAGAAGGTGTTACACAAAAATACGAAAATACCTAAATAATGCTTTCAAAAGACAGGCCAAAAAGAAATTGTTTTAACAGGATCATTGTGAGCTGTTGTTGTTTCTAATATTCAAACAGAGTTTTTGTTCATAGAAAGGACTATTTAAAGTTATCAGGGTTTAAACTAATATTCAATTTATTAAAGTTAAAAATTAAAATGGCCTAATTTTCTTAATAGCTTCAATTTCTACTTACAAATCTCATTATGGTATTAAAAAAATCTAGCAAAATGATAACTCCCTTTAATTTTTCTTGGATTATTGTTTAATTAACTTAAATGGAACAGAATAATTTCCCTTAGGCAAGTAGTCTCATTTACTAATTTAATTAATTAAATTTCCTGGAGCATTTTATATTACTTTTATAAATACAACATATTTGAGCTGCAAAATATTGCTGAAACACTTCACTAGTGTTAAAAAAAAGAACAACACAACATTGCTGAAAAATATTAAAGAATAT
The DNA here is from genome assembly GCF_000001405.40 of Homo sapiens. NCBI lineage: Eukaryota > Metazoa > Chordata > Mammalia > Primates > Hominidae > Homo > Homo sapiens. Next base: position 40,605,219 of record NC_000012.12, read on the forward strand.
CTAAGTAAATGAAGTGGTAGTTCATTTTCATGGATTGGAAGACTGAACATTATAAAGATAGTAATTCTTCCAAAATTGATCCATAAGTGCAGTGTGAAGTCTATCAAAATCCCAGTTAACTTTTTTTTGCTGAAATTGACAAGCTGACCTTAAAATATATATGGAATAGTGAAAAATTCCTGAAACAGAACAAAGTTAGAAAACTACTCAATTTTAATAATTACTACAAGGCTAAAGTAATCAAGAAAGTGTGGTAAAGCTAGATACACAGATCAATGAAAGAGAATTGAGAGTCTAGAGATAGAGATAAACCCTTATGTGTCTGGCCTGTTGAATTCAGATAAAGGTGTTAAGCCAATTCAATGGGAAAAGAATAGTCTTTTAAACCGAGTGCTGAGAAAATTGGCTAGCCATATGAAAAAGATGAATTTAGACCCTTACATCACACCCTACAACAAAATTAACTAAAAATTGGCCATATACCTAACTGTATAAGTTAAACATTTAGAAGAAGACATAGAAGTAAATCTTATTGATACTGGGTTAGGCCAAATTTTCTTAAGTGTGACACCAAGTCCAAATGTTTTTTTAAAAATGTGAAATTAAAAACTTTGTGATTCAAAAGACACCACAGTAAGTAAAAAGTAAAGCCATAGAAAGCGATAAAACATTTGCAAATCATATATCTGATAAAGAACTTGTAAGCAGAACACATAAAGAACTTTTGCAACTCAAGAAGATAAATAATCCAATTAAAAAATGGTCAAAAGATTTAAATAGACATCTCACCAAAGATTTATGAATAAGCACATGAAATAATGCTCAGCATAGTGCATCAGTAGGGTAACGTCTGAGTTAAAACCACAATGAGATATCACTTTATATTCACTCGAATGCTGATAATCATAAAGAACAACAATAAGTATCAGTGAAAATGTAGAGAAACTGGAACCCTCATCCATTGCTAGTAGAAATATAACATGGTACAGATACTCTAAAACAATTTGGCAGTTTCTTAACAAGTTAAACATAAATTTACCAAATGATCCAGTAATTCTCCTAAGTACCTTCCTAATGGAAATCAAAGTGCAAATACTTTGTACAACAATTTGGCAGTTTCATAGCAAGTTAAACATATATTTACCATATGACCCAGCAATTCTACTCCTGATACCTACCTAATGGAAATGAATGCATATGTCCACACAAAGTGGACACGATCATTCAGTGCAAATGATCATAGCAGCATATTCATAATAGCCAAACTGTGGAAACAATCCAAATATCCATCAACTGGTGAGCAGATAAAACAAACATGGTGTATCCATTCAATGGAATACTATTCGGCAATAAAAGGGGGAAATGCTGCGCATAAATTACCTTTAAAACATTACAGTAAGTGAAAGAAGCCAGACACAAAGGCTACAGATTTTTATTTGTTTCCATTATTTATATTATTTATATTTCTATTATTTATATTTCCATTATTTATATTAAATATTCAGAAAAAGCAAATCTATAGAAATGGAAAGTAGATTAGTGGTTGCTTGGGACTCAGTGTGGAAATATGGTAGTTGAATAATGGCCCCAAAGATGTGCACGTCCTAAAACTCAAAACTTGTGCCTGTTACCTTACATGGCATAAGGGACTTTAATGATGTCATTAAGTTAATAATTTTGAGGTGAAGAAATTATTCTGGATTATCCAGGCGGGCCCAATGTAATCGCAAGGGTGCTTTTAAGAAGGAAACAGGAATGTCAGACTTAGAGAAAGAGATTTGCAGATGTTGCACTGCTGACTTTGAAGATGGAGGAAGAGGCCAAGAGCAAAGGAATGCTGACAGCCTCTAGAAACTAGAAAAAGGCAAGAGAACCAATCATCCCTGTAAGAGCCAGTAGCAAGGGAACAGATTCTCCCTTAGAGCTTCCATAACGGATGCAACTCTGTCAACACCTTGATTTTAGTCATATAAGACTCATTTTGGACTTCTGACCTTCAGAACTATTAGACAATAAATGTGTGTTGTATTAAAGTATGTGGTAATTTGTTATAGTCAATAGAAAACTAATACAGAAAGTGACTGCAAATGACCAGGAAGGATCTTTTTGGGTTGTGGTTATGATGGTACAACTCTGTAAATTTACTAAAAATGATTTAACTGTACACTTAAAATTAGCAAATTTTATTGCATATATATTATACTTCAGTGAATTTATTTCCTGTTAGTTAATCTAGTCACTATCTGCTTACCTTCCTTATTTTTGTTCTTCCCATCTAGCGCACCACAACTATAATGTCATTCTAATGACTTTAGATTCTGGATTTTTTTTTCCACTTTGTTCTTGCTATTGGAGCAAACTCTACATGCTGTTGGAAAACTGGAGGCCGTGTTGAAGTTTTACAAATAAGACTTTTTTAAACTGATTTTTACCTTTCCTTACTTTTGTCAACAGTCTGTGAAACTGAATGTAACCTTTTCTTATTGATAATATTTAATAATTGTTCATGTTATTGATATTGATGAGATGCTTTGGTCTAAACTTATTCCTAGAATATACACCGAAACATTATTTTTGAAATCTATGATTTTCACTGGCCTATTTTTATTAAAAGGAATAAGAAATTTGCTCAAGAAGTATACCAGACCACATTTTAGCAAAATTAATTGCCAAATCAAGCACTGAGGGTGTCTTCTAGCTGCTATATATAAAATAACACTGTAATTTCTATTTGCTTTATCCCATCTACTGAGTTGTTTGCAACATATAAACAAACCAACTTTCTGCTTTAATAAAGCATCAATAACTCCTTCTTGTGAGCCTCAACAATTTATTTCCTGTTCAACCTAGAGGTAGAGCTCAGCATCATGTACTGATAGCTGATAACATCCTAGATTAGGGGTGTATTTTTCTCATGTAAAAAAAAAAAAATCCCAGAAGTCAGTAGTCCATGATTGGTACAATAGTTGAAGGCAGTTATCAAAGACCGAGGGCCTTTCAGCTTCCAGCTTTCCTACTCTTAACATGAGACTCATCGTAAGTCAGAACTGCCTATAATCACACAAAGGCATATTTTGAAGCCATTAATGAAAATTTGTACAAGAATTGTTAATGCTATAAAAACTTTTACAATATATTAGCTGAAAAAAGTAAGTGAGAAGTATATGCTCTTTGCACTCTTTTTTATAATAAAGACATATTTCTTTTTTTTTCTTCAACTTTTAAGTTCAGGTGTACATGTGCAAGATGTGCAGGTTTGTTGCATAGGTAAATGTGTACCATGGTGGTTTGCTGCACAGATTATCCCGTCATCTAAGTATTAAGCCTGGCATCCATTAGCTATTCTTCCTGATGCTCTCCCTCCTCCCACCCCCCACCCTCCAACAGGTCCCAGTGTGTGTTGTTCCCACCCCCAAAGTGTCCATGCGCTCTCCTCATTCAGCTCCCACTTATAAGTGAGAGCATGTGGTGTTTGGTTTTCTGTTTCTGTGTCAGTTTGCTGAGGATAATGGCTTCCAACTCCAACCATGTCCTTGCAAAGGATATAATCTCATTCCTTTTTATGGCTGCATAGTATTCCATGGTGTATACGTACCACATTTTCTTTATCCAGACTATCGTTGATGGGCATTTGGGTCGATTTCATGTCTTTACTATTGTGAATAATATTGCAATGAACATACATGTGCATATATTTTTATAATAGAATAATTTATATTCCTTTGGGTAAATACCCAGTAATGAGATTGCTGGGTCAAATGGTATTTCTGCCTCTAGGTATTTAAGGAATGACCACACTGTCTTCCACCATGGTTAAACTAATTTATACTCCCACCAGCAATGTAAAAGCATTCCTTTTTCTCTAAAACCTTGCCAGCATCTGTTGTTTTTTGACTTTTTAGTAGTAGTCATTCTGACTGGCATGAGATGGTATCTCGTTGTGGTTTCGATTAGCATGTCTCTAATTATCAATGATGTAGAGCTGCTTTTTTTCATATGTTTGTTGGCCACATGTATGTTTTCTTTGGGGAATTGTTTGTTCCTATCCTTTGCCCACTTTTTAATGGGGATGTTTGCTTCTTTCTTGTAAATTTAAATCCCTTGCAGACTTTAGATATTAAACCTTTGTCAGATGGATAGATTGTAAACATTTTCTCACATTCTGTAGGTTGTCTGTTCACACTGATGATAATTTCTTTTGCTGTGCAGAAGCTCATTAGTTTAATATTTCATTTGTCCATTTTTGCTTTTGCTGCAATTGCTTTTGGCATTTTCTTTATGAAATCTTTGCCTGTGCCTATGTCCTGGATGGTATTGCCTAGATTTTCTTCTAGGATTTTTATAGTTTTTCATCTTACATTTAAGTCTTTAACCCATCTTGAGTTAATTTGTGTATATGGTGTAAGGAATGGGTCCAGATTCAATCTTCTGCATAAGTCTAGCCAGTTTTCCCAGTACCATTTATTAAATAGGGTATCCTTTCCCCATGGCTTGTTTTTGTCAAATTTCCCAAATATCAGACGGTTGTAGGTGTGCAGTCTTATTACTGAATTATCTAATCTGTTCCCTTGGTCTATGTGCCTGTTCTTGTACCAGTACCATGCTGTTTTGGTTACTGCAGCCTTGTAGTATAGTTTGAAGTCAGGTAGCATGATGACTCCAACTTTGTTCTTTCTGCTTAGGATTGTCTTGGCTATCCAGGCTCTTTTCTCCTTCCATAGGAATTTTAAAATATTTTTTTCTAATTCCATTAATAATGTCAATGGTAGTTTAATGGGAATAGCATTGAATCTATAAATTACTTTGGGCAGTATGGCCATTTTCACAGTATTGACTCTTCCTATCCATGAGCATGGAATGTTTTTCCATTTGTTTGTATCCTTTCTGATTTCCTTGAGCAGTGGTTTGTAGTTCTCCTTGAAGAGGTCCTTCATTTCACTTGTTAGCTGTATTCCTAGGTACTTTAGTCTTTTTGTAGCAATTGTGAATGGGAGTTCATTCATGATTTGGCTCTCATCTTGTCTATTGTTGGTGTGTAGGAATGCTAGTGATTTTTTCACATTGATTTTGTATCCTGAGACTTTGCTGAAATTGCTTATCAGCTTAAGAAGCTTTTGGGCTGAGACTATGTGGTTTTCTAGATATAGGATCACGTCATTTGCAAATAAAAATAATTTGACTTTCTCTCCTCCTATTTGAATACCCCTTATTTCTTTCTCTTGCCTGATTGCCCTGGCCAGAATTTCCAATACTATGTTGAATAGGAGTGGTGAGAGAGTGCATTCTTATCTTGTGCTGGTTTTCAAGAGGAGTGCTTCCAGCTTTTGCTCATTCAGTATGATATTGGCTGTGGGTTTGTCATATATGGCTCCTATTATTTTGAGGTATGTTCCTTCACTACCTAGTTTATTAAGCATTTTTAACATGAAGGGATGTTGAATTTTATCAAAGGCCTTTTCTGTGTCTATTGAGATAATCATGTGGTTTTTGTCTTTAGTTCTGTTTATGTAATGAATCACATTTTTTATTTGCATATGTGGAACTAACCTTGCATCCCAGGAATGAAGCCATGATTGTGGTGGATAAGTTTTTTGATGTGCTGCTGGATTCAGTTTGCCAGTATTTTACTGAGGATTTTTGCATTGATGATAATGAGGGATATTGGCTTGAAGTTTTTTTGTTATTGTTGTACCTCTGGCAGATTTTGGTATCAGGATGATTCTGGCCTAAAATAATGAGTTAGGGAGGAGTCCTTCCTTTTCAACTTTTTGAAATAGTTTCAGTAGAAATGGTACTAGCTTTTCTTTGTGCCTCTGGTAGAATTCAGCTGTGAATAATCCATCTGGTCCTGGGCTTCTTTTGTTTGTTTGTTTGTTTAGTAGGCTATTTATTACTGCCTCAATTTCAGAACTCATTATTGGTCTATTCAGGGATTCAATTTCTTCTTAGTTCAGTCTTGGCAAGGTGTATGTGTCCAAGAATTTATCCATTTTTTCTAGATTTTCTGATTTATGTGCATAAAGGTGTTTATAGTATTCTCTGATGGTTGTTTGTATTTCTTTGGGGTCTGTGGTGAAATCCCCATTATATCTGATTGTGTTTATTTTATTCTTTTCTCTTTCTTTCTTTATTCGTCTAGTTAGCGGTCTATTTTATTTGTTTTTTCAAATAACCAGCTCCTGGATTCATTGATTTTTTGACGGTTTTTTTGGGTCTCTATCTCCTTCAGTTCAGCTCTGATCTTGGTGATTTTTTGTCTTCTGCTAGCTTTGGGGTTTGTTTGCTCTTGGTTCTCTCATTCTTTTGATTGTGATGTTGGGTTATTAACTTGAGCTATTTCTAGCTTTTTTATGTGGCATTTAGTGCTATAAATTTCTCCCTTAACACTGCTTTACCTGTATCCCAGAGGTTCTAGTAATTGTCTGTTTGTTCTGATTAGTTTCAAAAAACTTCTTGATTTCTGCCTTAATTTCATTATTTACCAAAGAGTCATTCAGGAGCAGGTTGTTCAATTTCCATGTAATTATGTGGTTTTCTGTAAATTTCTTAATCTTGAGTTCTAATTTGATTGTGCTGTGGTCTCAGAGACTGTTACAATTTCAGTTCTTTTGCATTTGCTGAGAAGTGTTTTACTTCTGATTATGTAACCAATTTTAGAGTAAGTGCCATGCAGTGATGAGAAGAATATATATTCTGTTGTTTCTGGTTGGAACCTTCTATAGATATCTGTTAGGTCTATTTGATCCAGAGCTGAGTTCAAAGAGTTCAGATCCTGAGTATCTTTGTTAATTTTATATCTCAGTGATCTGTCTAATATTGTCAGTGGGGTGTTAAATTCTCCCACTATTATTGTATGGGAGTCAAAGTCTCTTTGTGGGTCTCTAAGAACTTGCTTTATGAATCTGGGTGTTCCTGTATTGGGTGTATATATATTTAAGACAATTCTTCTCGTTGAATTGAACCCTTTGCCATTACGTAATGCCCTTTGTCTTTTTTGATCTTCGTTGGTTTAAGGCCTGTTTTGTCAGAAACTGTTAGGTTGGTGCAAATAACTATGGTTTGGCCACCAAAAGTAATGGCAAAAACCACAGTTACTTTTGCATCAATGTAATAGCATTGCAATTCCCGCTTTTTTCTGTTTTCCATTTGCTTGGTAAATTTTCCTCCATTTCTTTATTGTGAACCTACATATGCCTTTGCACGTAAGATGGATCTCTTGAACACAGCATGCCTATGGGTCTTGGCTGTTTATCCAGCTTGCCATTCTGTGTCTTTTTATTGGGGCATTTAGCCTATTTACATTTAAGGTTAGTATTGTTATGTGTGAATTTTATCCTGTCATCATGATACTAGCTGGTTATTTTGCAGACTTGTTTATATGGTCGCTTCATAGTGTCACTGGTCTGGTCTGGGTACTTTGGTGTGTTTTTCTAGTGGCTGGTAATGGTTTTCATTTCCATATGAAGTACTTCCTTCAGGGGCTCTTGCAAGGCAGGCCTGGTGGTGACAAATTCCCTCAATATTTGCTTGTCTGAAAAGGATCTTATTTCTCCTTTGTGTAGGAAGCTTAGTTTGGCCAGATGTGAAATTCTGGGTTCAAATTCTTTCTTTAAGAATGTTGAATATTGGCCCCCAATCTCTTCTGACTTGTAGGGTCTCCAATTAGAGGTCCACTGTTAGTCTGATGGGTTTCCCTGGCCTTTCTCTATGGCTGTCCTTAACATTTTTTCTTCCATTTTGACCTTGGAGAATCTGACGATTATGTGTCTTGTGGTTGATCTTCTAGAGTATCTTACTGGGGTTCTCTGCATTCTTTGAATTTGAATGTTGGCCTGTCTTGCTAGTTTAGGAAAGTTCTCCTGGATGATACCCTGAAGCATGTTTTCCAACTTGGTTCCATTCTCCCTGTCTCTTTAGAGTCAGTTATGTTCCTCTAAACTGGCTATTCTGGCTCTCAGTTTATATATCATTTTATCATGATTCTTAGCCCCTTTGCATTGGGTTACTAAATGCTCTTTCAGCTCAGTGAAGTTTGTTATTACCCACCTTCTGAAGTCTACTTCTGTTAATTCAGCCATCTCAGACTCAGCCCAGTTCTGTGCCCCTGCTAGAGAGGTGTTGCAGTCATTTGGAGGTGAAGAAGCACTCTGGCTTTTTGAGTTTTCAGCATTTTTGCATTTATTCTTTCTCATCCATGGGCTTATCTACCTTTGATCTTTGAGGTTGCTGACCTTTGAATGGAGTTTTAGTGGGGTCATTTTTGTTGAGTTTTTGTTTTCTGTTTGTTTGTTTTTCTTTTAACAGTCAGGCCACTCTACCATAGGGCTGTTGCACTTTGCTGGGGTCCACTCCAGGCCCCAGTTGCCTCAGTTTTTCTCATACCTGGAGGTATCACCAGTAAAGGCTGCAAAACAGCAAAGATGGCAGCCTTTTCTAGAAGCTCTGATCCAGATGGGTAGTGACTTGTTGCCAACTCAAATGTGCCTATCAGAGGTGGCTGGAGACCCCTGTTGGGAGGTCTCATCCAGTCAGGAGGAACAGGATCAGGGACCCACTTAAAGAAGCAATCTGGCTGCTTTTTGGTAGACCAGGTGTGCTGCAATGGGGGGAACCCTTCCTCATCTGGAATGTTTGGATTCTCCAAAACCAGCAGGCTGGAATGGCTGAGTTGGCTGAACTACAGAGATGGCAGTCACCCCTTCCCTCAGGAGCTCCATCTCAAGGAGAGATCAGAACTCTGCTCATAGAACTCTGGCTGGAGTGGCTGAAGCCCCAGCAGAGAGGTTCAGGCCAGTGAGGAGGAATGGATTTGGTTTCCCCTTAAAAAAGGAGTCTGGCCATGATCTGGCAAAGCAGCTATGCTGTGTGGAGGGGGACCCTTCTGCATCTGGATTGTTTGGATTCTCCAAAGCCAGCAAACTGGAATGGCTGAGTTGACCAAACCACAGACATGGTGGCCACCCCTCCGCCTGGGAATTCAGTCCAGTCTCAGGCAGACTCTTGTTGCCATTGGCTGGCTGGAATTCAAAGTCAGTGGGTCTTAACTTGTGAGGTGCAGTGGAAGTTGAGCCTGCAGAATGACTCTGCTTGGCTCCCTGGACTCAGCCCCCTTCCTAGAGATATGTACAGATGGATCCCCTGCCTTGCCAGGGATCCCAGGGCAGAAGTATGTAAAACTCCTGTGTCTCTGTGTGTGCCTGAGTGGCTTCTCTGCCTAGACTCCACACAGCTCTGTGTATCAAACCCAAGGCCCTGGTGGCAGGGGCTCATAAGGGGATCTCTTGATCTGTGTGTTGTAAAGATCTGTGGGAGAAGTGTGGTTTTGCAGGAGGAGTTGCACAATCACTCAGCAATTCCCTTGGCTGGGAGTGGGGGGTTCCTTTGGCTCTGTGATGCACCCAGGTGGGCCATCGCCCTACCCTGCTTTTCTTCATTCTCCATGGGTTGAGTTATTTGCCTAGTCACTCCCAGTGTGAGAACTTGGATATTTCAGTTGAAGGTGCCAATTCACTTGCCCCTTTCATTCCTCTCCGTGGGTGCTACAGACTGCAACTGCTTCTAATCGGCCATCTTGGCCTCATTTCTTGGCTTCACAGGTGTTCTGGAGTCTTAAATATGGATCTTCCAATGCCAGCAGATCACAGATGATGGGGTCTGTGGCAGAATCACCTCAGCCTCCTGAAGCAGAGTACATAGGGCAGGGAAGACCTAACCCCAAGCCCTGGTTCTATAATATTATCTTCAAAGAGTACATGTATACATGTATGTAGAAAACACTAACAGATTATGCTTAAGAGACAACCAGTGTTTATCTGCACAGTAGTTCCCCTTTATCCATAGTCTTGCTTTCTGTGGTTTCAGTTACCTGTGGCCAGTCATGGTCCAAAAATGTTAAGATATTTTGAGAAAGAAAGGGAGAGAGTGTGAGGAACTCCCCCACCCCCAGCCAAGGGAAGTGATGAGTGATTTTGTAACCCCTCCTGAGAAACCACACTTCTCCCACAGATCTTTACATTCATACAACTCTTGGTATAGTATAATTATTCTATTTTATTATTAGTTACTATTGTTAATCTCTTACTGTTCTTAATTTATAAACTAAACTTTATCATAGTTATAAACATACAGGGAAAACATAGTATATATATATATATAGTGTTCAGTATTATCTGAGATTTTAGGCACTACTGCGGTTGTTGAAACATCCCCTTGCAGATAAGTGTATACTACTGTATAATTAGAACTGTAGATTAATTTAGTTTTATTTTTGTATATCTGTATTTTCTGTAATAGTATACATTTCTTTCATAATGAAAATATAAAATGAAAGTTATTATTTTGAAGGGGTGAGTTTACTTTTCCCCAAGGCCCCAATAAATATGCTTCCATTTATACAGCTTGGCCAGAATTGAGTCACCTGGTCACTCATAACTGCTAAGGAACATGAGGAGGTAAATATTTCTACTCTAAATCAAATCAAGGTTTTGATAGTAAATAAGAATATAAACTGGGCTAGCAAATTACAGTGTCCACTGTAGATGCAATGTATGCTGAATTTTGCATTTAATGATTACTCAGCTGTAATTTGCCTAAAAAAATGACCTGTAAATAGGTGTATATACCTAGTGGTTATGTGTTAGTTTGTACATAAACGAGATCAGAGAACCATGATTTGGTGGGAAAGCATGCCTGGATTCAGACCTGGGTTCTAATCTTATCTTTAATATTCTTATTTGTTACTCTAAAAAAGTGGAAATAATACCTATTTTTATGATGCTTAAAAAGAATAAGGACTATGAAGTGTCACCTATATATAAAGAGAGCTAAATCAATTGTTGAATTTACCAAAAAAAAAGTCATATGGTTTAGCCATTCATAGGGAACTAACTTTAATTCTCTCTCTATTGTGTTAGGAATATCTGTGTTCTATGGAAATTGATTCTATTTTTAGAAATATCTTACTGTTGAAACGTTCTTTTCCTTATTGACTCAAATTTGTCTTCTGTTTTATACCAAGGCTCTTACTAAGGGAGAACTTCTCTTGGAATTTAAACACATTGCATGATAAATAGATACTTTTTCTATTTGCAGTGTTAGATTTAAGGGTTATTATTATTTTCAATATAATTTATGTTTGTTTCAAGGGAAAAATAATTCCTGAAATGTTTTCCATTGAAGTCATGTGTCGCTTAAATGTTCGTTGCCAGTGTGACTCCAACAAATAACTGCCCTTATAAATTAACTTTGATATTACCTAATTAATGAATATGAATGTGTCCAGTTTTTCCATTTCCTTTCAGGGCAAGCACATCTGGTACTTAGAAGCATTGCTGCAATCTCACACAAAGAGGGTTAGTTGATGAAGCTTGTTGAATATCCCATGTGCCAAAGAAAGCAACTTGGCTTCCTCTGAATACTCTATTTCATGCCCCAAATACTGTGTGAGTGTCTAAAACTGCACATGTCATTCTGATAGTGTTTTGCTTCTCTGATACCCAGTCCAATATCGAAGGCATTCCTCTATGTTCTTGGGGCATTAACTGGGTCCCAGAGTATCTTCCAAGCCTGATGTTTCCATGGGACTGAAAGTCAATAGGCCCATCTGCCCCACCGGAAGTGGCTTTGCCATCTGGCTTTAGGAAATTGGGTCATGGCTTACTGGTTCAAAGTGAATTGGTAGTAAATCTTTCTTATGTTGCAGAACAAAACACAATCATGAAAAGACTGCCTTTGAAAGGTAAAAAGACACATCTCTGGAGTCATCCTCAGCTCATTTTACCCACATATGCTGACCAGGAAATCATCAGTCTAATACCATTTATGGAATGCCAGATGTTTTATATTCATTATCTTTGCTACTCACAAAAACCACATGTAAGTTTTATTTCCCCCACCTAATAGATGTGTCCCTAGTCTAAGAGAGATTAAATGAGATGTCCAAGATGCACAACCCGGCAGAAGTGCATCTTAGAATCAAATCTGCATCAGTACCATGGCCTCTGCACACACCTGCTTTCCATGACCTAATCCCAGCTGCGGTGTCACTCTTCCTGCCTCTATGCCATTCTTTTATACTGTGGTCTAAAGAAGTCAATAGGTTTTCATAAATTGGAATATACTGTTGGTAATGTTTTTTTCCTGAAATAGTAAACAAGCTTTGAATTTAAACTAAACAAAACAGTACTTGCCCTTTAACATTTTCCAAAGCCAAGAAGGAAGAATCCTTGAACTGCTTTCCTAACTTTTCTATTATAACATGTCCATCCTTCTGACTTTGGCTCTTCTCAATTGCAAAGATTTGTTGACTTACTTGGAAACAAATGTTTAAAGCCAACTCATCAGTACTCATTTGGTCAGAAGGGAAATTTAAGAAGTATGTAAATGTGATTAAAATGGAAAAAATTATTCTCTAGTTCAAATTGCTTCATGGTCTCACATGATAAGCCTCAGTCAGAAAAGAAAGGAGGCTATGACTAGGTGTGCCATTATCTCACCTAGAGAATAAAGATTTCCAGAAAGGAACTCCTCTTGTGTTTAAAATCACCATCTATAAGGATTTTATAGGCTGCAAGCTTCATGTACATTTAAACTTAACCTTCTCATTTTTATTGTTGGTTGAATCAGACCTACTTGAAGTATAACAGCAAGAATATTTATTTACAATTTTCAGTATTAATTATCCAATTGAAAGTACCAAGTGAATGATTTAGAACTCCTACAATATTATTTGTTTTGTTTTGTTTTGTTTTTGAGACAGAGTCTCGCTCTGTCGCTCAGGCTGGAGTACAGTGATGTGATCTTGGCTCACTCCAACCTCCACCTCCAGGGTTCAAGCAATTCTTATGCCTCAGCCTCCTGAGTAGCTGGGACTACAGGTAGCGTGTGCCACCACACATGGCTAATTGTTGTATTTTTAGTAGAGACGGGGCGGGGGTGGTTTCACTTTGTTGGCCAGGCTGGTCTCAAACACCTGACCTCAGGTAATCTGCCCACCTTGGCCTCCCAAAGTGCTGGGATTACAGGCCTGAGCCACCGCTCCCGGCTGTGAACTCCTACAATATTATTTGAGAAGTCATTTTCCGTGGTATGCTGTATATAATGTAAAACACACACACACACACACACACACATTATTTTCTATGTGGTTTCTAAAACAAAAAGCTTTCTATCTATTTTCAAGTCATTCTAATTTTAAGATGTAGAAATTACCTTTGTTTTCAGAGTAAGACATTAATTTTCAGAAAATATAAATATCCATAGAATATCTATATCTATAGATATAGATATATAATATGTGGAGATAAATAGATACTATGTGGATACATATATATATATATATCCTATTTTATATATCTCTCTCCTATTTCATATATATATATATATATATATATATATATATATATAACCTCCCCACATAGCATAATGGCATTAATTGAAGCAATGTAAAATAATGAACAGGGTGTACTACTTTCATGTACTTTCATGTATTTATTTTCTTTTTACTAGCAATTTCCTAGTTTTTAAAATGAGCAGACTTCTAAGATTGGAATCTGAGGAATGTCATTTTTTATGAAGCTTTTTCATAACACATTTCTTCACTGAAATCTCTAGGTCACTCAATCTGCTGAAGCAGTCTTAAGCTCTGCTGATCCCAGTCAGAGGCCAGAAGGAACATTTGCTTAAATTCAAAACTCTCTCTGCAATATACCCAGGATTTGGGGTTCACAGAGAAAAAATCCAATAAGCCTAAACTGGCTACTGATAGATTCTGAGACAGGAGTAGGTTAGAGGTCAAACGTGGAAGATGATATTGGGGCTTAGAGACTGATACCCCAGAATATGGTACTTTGACATGGAAAACTGAAGAAGCCTCAAGATCTCTCTGACTCTCCTCCAACTCCTGTCTCTCAATCTCTGTCTCTCCCAATGTGCAGAATAAAAATGTTCTTGAAGTTCCCTTATCTGGCAAAAGTCCGGACCCACCAAAGAAGAAAGCAATTACCTCTGGTCCCTTCCTGAGTTTTCATTAACTGAACTCCTTTGGCCAGAATGAAGATGAAAGTCTCAACACACCTGCACACATTTGCAAACTACTGCTCTGCAGGTCCAACAGACTTTGTCCCAGGCCCCTGTATGTTTTTTAAGTCTATTGAATTTCCCTAAAAATCCCATACTACCCACCTAAAATCATCCACATTTCCCCATCTCCATTTCTCCTAATAAGAAGGGTATATAAGTATCTGTACCCCATTGTGTGAGTGGGGAATCACTCTGTGATTTTTACCCCATGCACATTAATACATCTGTGTGCTTCTTCTCTTATTAATCTGTCTTTTGTCTGTTGATTTTTAGTGAAACTTCAGAGGGCAAAGGGGACGTTTTCCCATGGCCCCTACAGTGGGATAGAGATCACATTTTGGTATAGAGCTGGGGACTTTAGAAATAATATGAATGGGGTACTATATGGTCACAGTTAGTGGGCTGAGGGAAAAAAACAAAAAAAAACATGTTAAGGCCATCTAACGGGATGATTCTTATAGTCTGGTTTGTCTTGTCTTCTTTTGCTATAGCTTCCCTAGGTGATATTTTCAATAATTGTGGATTAAAGTAATATCTTTATGCTGGTCACTACTAAATTTACATTTCAAGTCCAGATCTTCCTTCTGGGAAGCACTCTCAAAACTTCTTCCTACACAGTATTTTCACAAGGGTGTCTCAAAGGCACAGTCTCCAAAACAGACATCTTTCATTTTCCACCAATTCATCTTTCCGTTTCATTCTTCTTCATCTCAAAAAGTGGCAATACCACCCTCCTGTCAATTGCTCATGATCAAAATGTCTTCCCTTTTCTTTATTCACCTAAGTCCCATTGATTTGACTTTCAAAAGATTTTTGGATCTACTCATTTCTCTGAAAGTCTCCTGTCATCACAAAGTACAAAGTACCAACACCTATTTCCTAGATCATGGTGTTAAATTCCTAATTCACTTTTATAAACTTTCTTTCCTGTCCTCTTACAATACATTGATTGCCAGCAATGACTAAACCGAAAATGTAAATTGCATCATGCCATTATTTTGCTTAAAGCTTCCCAATGTTTACTCATTGAACTCGAAATAAAATCCTAAGTCTTTTCAGTGGCCTAAAGGCCCTGCATTATCTAGGCCTAGCTGCAATTTTCTCTATTCCCACCACGACATACTCCCACTACAGATCTCTAGTATCTCTGGATACTGAGTGTTCCAGCTCTATCCTAGCTCATTGCTTTTGCACATGCTATTGAGAGGTGACAGCGTGCTAGCAGTCCTCACAGCCCTTGCTCGCTCTCGGCGCCTCCTCTGCCTGGGCTCGCACGTTGGCGGCACTTGAGGAGCCCTTCGCCCGCCACTGCACTGTGGGAGCCCCTTTCTGGGCTGGCCAAGGCCAAGGCCCCTCAGCTTGCGGGGAGGTGTGGAGAGAGAGGCACGGGCAGGAACCGGGGCTGCGCGCGAGTTCCGGGTGGGCGTTGGCTCGGCGGACCCCGCACTCGGAGCGGCAGGCCGGCCCCACCGGCCGGGGCAGTGAGGGGCTTAGCACCTGGGCCAGCAGCTGCTGTGCTCAATTTCTCGCTGGGCCTTAGCTGCCTTCTTGCGGGGCAGGGCTCGTGACCTGCAGCGCGCCATGCCTGAGCCTCCTCCCCACTCCGTGGGCTCCTGTGTCGCCCGAGCTTCCCCGACGAGCGCGGCCCCTGCTCCATGGTGCCCAGTCCCATTGACCACCCAAGGGCTGAGGAGTGCGGGCGCACCGCGCGGGACTGGCAGGCAGCTCCACCTGCAGCCCCGGTGAGGGATCCACTGGGTGAAGCCAGCTGGGCTTCTGAGTCTGGTGGGGACATGGAGAACCTTTATGTCTAGCTAAGGGATTGTAAATACACCAATCGGCACTCTGTATCTAGCTCAAGGTTTGTAAACACACCAATCAGCACCCTGTGTCTAGCTCAGAGTTTGTGAATGCACCAATCAACACTTCGTATCTAGCTAATCTGGGGGGGATGTGCAGAACCTTTGTGTCTAGCTCAGGGATTGTAAAGGCACCAATCAGCACCCTGTCAAAACAGACCACTGGGCTCTACCAATCAGCAGGATGTGGGTAGGGCCAGATAAGAGAATAAAAGCAGGCTGCCCTAGCCAGCAGTGGCAACCCGTTGGGGTCCCTTCCACACTGTGGAAGCTTTGTTCTTTCGCTCTTTGCAATAAATCCTGCTGCTGCTCACTCTTTGGGTCCACACTGCCATTATGAGCTGTAACACCATGAAGGTCTGCAGCTTCACTCCTGAATCCAAGGAGACCAGGGACCCACCGGGAGGAATGAACAACTCCAGACGCCCGCCTTAGGAGCTGTAACACTCACTGAGAAGGTCCGCAGCTTCACTCCTGAGCCAGCGAGACCACGAACCCACCAGAAGGAAGAAACTCCCAACACATCCGAACATCAGAAGGAACAAACTCCAGATGCGCCACCTTAAGAGCTGTAACACTCACTGCGAGGGTCCACAGCTTCATTCTTGAAGTCACTGAGACCGGACACACTCTCTCTTCTGTCTAAAATGCACTCATCTCAATTTTTTTCCGTGACTAGCTCATTATCTTCTTTTTAGGTCTCAACTGCAGTGCTACATCATCATGAGGCCTTCCATGACCACTGACCCTTGCTCTCTTCAAAACTATTATTAAAGTTTGCAACTGCTTATTTATCTATCTCATTTATTTGTCTGTCAGTCACCCTCACTACAATGCAAGCTGCATAACTCCTTTGTTTACTACATTATCCCAGCCGTCTGTTAAATTAATGAGTTGATGAATAGTCAAGGAGCGTATTTTGTTAATACAAGGAAGCAATTTGAGAAGATGGACCAGAAGAAGCCTCTCTGGTCAGAGGGAGTTTCCAAGGAGTTTTGGGTTTCCAATCAAGATTCCCAGTCAGCCCTGCCTTATGTCAAAGGAGTTTGTTAACATCCCTCGTATTGTGAATCCTACTGTATTTCCACCTCCTAGTTGTTAAGTAGGGGAACCGTTGAGCATTTCAAGAATTGTAGTGACCAGAGAAGCCTTATCCCAGATGGAGCAATTTCTCTTGGGTTCTCAAAACTGCTTAACTCTTGGTTTTACTGGCCTATTTTCTTCACAGAGACTTAAAAGTGGGACCTCAAGAGATAGTCTGATGGCAAAAAGGGCTGCCACCAGATGGCAGCAAAGAGTTGTCTTCTTGCATGGTTACTTTTAAATCTTGCCCCTATTTAGAGGTATTAAAATATGATTGTTTCTGAAATACACTTACATCATCAATGACTTTCCCATTTGGCATTTGTATCTGTTTATTTCAAACACTTCCAGTTCATAGATTCAATGGGAAAATTCCACTAGATAAAGGGATATCTTCAGAAAAGAAAAAACTCAAATTGGAAATTTTTTGAATGAAAAATGATAGGGCTGGGCTTTGTGGCTCATGACTGTAATACCAGCACTTTGGGAGGCAGAGATGGGAGAATCGCTTGAAGCCAAGAATTCGAGGACAGCCTGGCCAACATGGCAAGACCCCTTTCTCTACAAAAACAAAAAACATTTAGCCAGGCATGGTGGCATGCACCTTTGGTCCCAGCTACTTGAGAGGCTGAGGTGGAAGGATCGCTTGAGCCCAGGAGTTTGAGGCTGCAGTGAACCATGATCAGGCCACTGCACTCCAGCCTGGGCAACAGAGCGAGAACTTGTCTCAAAGAAAAAAAAAAGGCTTTTCTTTCCTAGAAAATTACTTAACTTTAACCTTAGAATCTTACAATCAACATAGAATGTATGTAATTTGAGTTATGATGAAGACTTTTATGTTTGAAAATGAATTAATTCACTTGACACCAACTGACTAAAAAAAAAATAAGAAATATAAGGAAAGGTATGTGCTGCTGTATCAGGTGCTCTCAATAGTGATGCACTAACACCTGTGTAGTTTTATTAATCATTGGGATCATTTTGCTATCCTGTTGGAATTGAACTACTTAGGCTGGCATAAAAGCCTTTAACATTCTACATTTGAATTAGCGTCACTAACTCACTACAATCACTTCCCCCTCCATTATCTACTCTAGTCATGATAAACTCCCCACTTCCCAAACACTTCAATCACATCAGTGCCTTTGCTCATGCCAATCCCAGGTCTATGAGTAATCCAGCAGCTCTTTTGAGTTGAAAAATATCTATTTATTTTTCAAGAACCATCGCAAATGTAACTCCTTCTGGAGGCTTTTCTGCCTTTCATTCTCTTTCACACAGAAAGACCCTCTTCTTTGAGTTTCTATATGTCACCTCATGCAATCATTCATCCAGTAAATAACTATTAGATAATTCACCATGCATTATATCTAATGTGCTGAGTAAATAACAAGCACATCACTGCTATCATAGACTATAGAAGGATAAGGAGAAATTAAATGAAGAGTTATTGTATGTTGAATGCTATAAAGATCTATAGGACATATATCTTTTACATGTGATAGAGGATTTCCTGAATGCTAAAACAGATCTAAAGAATGAATAGAAGCCATCTAGACAAAGAGAGGGGAGGCAGAAATTCTAGGTAGAAAAAAAAAGAACATGTGAAAAACCACTCAGAAGATGGTATCTATTAATTCAAGGAATCACTAGTTCAGTGTGGTGGAGCAGAGAGAGTAAGGGGAAGGACACTCAAATGAGGGTGGAGAGTTAGGAAGGGGAGTGGATAGTTCAGACTCTTTAAAGCCTTATTGAGGATGCTGGACTCTACCCAACAGTAGGGAAAAGTCAGCAGCAGCTTTTAAGAAGAGTGATAAAATAATCAGATGTGGATTTGATCCATTACTGTAACCCTAAAATAGAGAATGGATTGGAGAAGAGCACAAGTAGGTTTGAGGAAGTGTAGGGAGGTTATCGGAATAGTCTCAGCAAGTGCTTTTGATAGATTGGACTAGGGCTGTAACCATGGGGATGGAGAGAAGTAGATTGATTTGAATGTTATTAAAGAGGCAACATTGCTGGACTTGGTGATTGGTTGTGGGGAATAAGGGAGAAGAAGGAATCAAGTGGGCTCTAAGGTTTCTAGATTGAGCCACCGTATATAGATGATTGTGCTATTTCCAGGGGTGATTTGATTTTTATATTACTGATTAATATTTAGAGTTACATGGCTCCTTTGTTTAATGTGCTCAAGACGTATATAATAAGAATAAATGTCATGTTATTTCAAAACTAGGATATCAAACTTATAAAATTCATGTTTAAAATAATTTCTGGAATTCTAAAGAAATACAAGTTGTAAAAAAAAAAAATGTCGGCCGGGCGCGGTGGCTCACGCCTGTAATCCCAGCACTTTGGGAGGCCGAGGCGGGCAGATCACAAGGTCAGGAGATCGAGACCATCCTGGCGAACACGGTGAAAGCCCGTCTCTACTCAAAAAAAAAAAAACAAAAAAAACAAAAAACTTAGCCAGGCTTGGTGGTGGGCGCCTGTAGTTCCATCTACTCAGGAGGCTGAGGCAGGAGAATGGCGTGAACCTGGGAGGTGGAGCTTGCAGTGAGCCGAGATTGCGCCACTGCACTCCAGCCTGGGTGACAGAGCAAGACTCTGTCAAAAAAAAAAAAAAAAAAGTCATAATAATGAAGAGACATATCAGACTAGGACACCTGCAGTAATAATTACTCCTACTGCTATCAAATTCTGCCTATGTTTGCTGCTTAAAGGAAGCTTTTGCCCTTTCCTCTCTGTTTTCTGATCCTAGTAAGATTCACATCCTCCTGCATTTTACATATGTAATGCTTTAGAAATTAAAAATAGAATCTGCAAGCTGCAGAAATTCTAATTGAACATTTTAATAACTTCTTTTCTTTGGATTAATCAACTTTCCAAAGCATGAGCTATTTTTAGCATCAGTTACACTTCTACCTTTGTGCCCAATTCTAATTCTCTTCACATCACAGAGGATCTCTTTACAGCACTCTCTTTGAAATCAATCAGCGCTTTCAGGAGTTATGCAGTGGAGGATGAGAATTGGGTCATGGCGGACATTCTCCCTCACATAAGGCTGAATTCTTTCACTTCCAGGTGCAAAGACAGAGTTAGATAATTACCAGTTAAAGAGCAAAAAGAAGACCATTAGAGTAAACCCTTCCTTACCCCCCACCCCGCCAAAAAAAACAAAAAAAAAACACACAAAAAAAACAAAAACTTACCTTGGTAATGCTATTTCAGATTGGTCACGTTGTTGTTCTGTTTCCAGAATTTTAACTTCACCAAGAAACAAATTACACTGAATAAATTTGCTATTAAAATTCCTGGTCTGCAAAATGGGAAGCAATATCTAATGCAACCTCCTCATACCCAACTTAACACTTAGATTCCTGGGAAGATCCTGAAAAGACCAGGAGGCAATCTACTGCCTGACAGATAATCTACTTGCAGGAACTTTAGACATTTCTATTAATTGTATGTTTGATGGAATTTGGAGTAAGGTAACAATAGTGATTTGCCCTCCCCCTTCCTTTTTAAGAGGAAGAGAGTCAACACACTACCTGAAAGAAGGTTGTGAGATCTTTCATCCTTCCCCCACTGCCAATCTGTTCATTAGAGTTTCAGGTTCTATATTAGTCCATTTGTGTTGCTATAAAGGAATACCTGAGACTGGGTAATTTATAGGGGAAAAAGTTATTCGGCTCATGATTCTGATTGGCTGGAAGAGTAGTCATCTGGTGAGGGCCTCAGGCTGCTTCCACTCATGGTGGAAGGGGAAGGGGGTCTGGCAGATGTGGAAATCACGGAGATGCCAGGATCTTCTTAACAACCAGATATCCTGGGAACTGAAAGAGTGGGAACTCACTCACTTCCCCATCCAGGGAGGGTATTTATCTCTTCACAACGGATCCACCCCCATGACCCAAACACCTCCCATTAGGCCCCACCTCCAACATTGGGGATCAAATTTCAACACAAGATTTGGAGGAGACAAACATCCAAACTATAATGCATATCGACCAGAAAAGAGGAAAATCATGTCTTTTCTTCATTCATATTGATTTTGAAGTTGTCAGAAGGCTACTCTTCTAGCCTTTCTCCCAACTCCCATTATTCAAATAAAGTGAGGTAGATGGGATCAGGGTAGACCAGAGCAATAAATAATTCAGGGGAAAGGCTAGGCATGGTGGCTCACACCTGTAATCTGAGCATTTTGGGAGGCTCACGTGGGCAAATCCCTTGAGCTCAGGAGTTCGAGAACAGCCTGGGCAATATGGTGAAACCCCGTCTCTACAAAAAATTTGCTGGGCGTGATAGAACATGCCTGTAGTCCCCCGCTACTTAGGAGGCTGAGTGGGAAGCTCATCTGAGCTTGAGAGGCGGAGGTTGCAGTAAGCCTAGATTGCAGCATTGCACTCCAACCTGGGTGGCAGAGTGAGACCCTGTCTCAAAAAAGAAAAAAAAATTAAGGGGAAATTTTAAGTGCATATACTTCGTATTTCATATGTTCATCTTTTTAGGAAACCAGGTAGGATATGCAGAATATTTATCATCCCATAAAAAGAGTCCATGAGAGGAATATTTGGAGACAGTAATAAAACTTAGATCTTAACTAGTTTTTCACACAGATACAATTTCTTATTTATCCACTACCCCTCTACCTATTGAAGCCACTGAGGTCCTTAATGCCTTAGCCTTTTAGGCTGGGCATGGTGGCTCACGACTGTAATCCTAGTACTTTGGGAGGCCGAGGCGGGCAGATCACCTGAGGTCAGGAGTTTGAGACCAGCCTGGTCAACGTGGTGAAATCCCGTCTCTACCAAAAATAAAAAAATTAGCCGGGCGTGGTGGCGAAAGCCTGTCATCCCAGCTACTTGGGAGGCTGAGGCAGGAGAATCGCTTGAACCTGGGAGGCAGAGGTTGCAGTGAGCCGGGATAGTGCCACTGCACTCCAGCTGGGGCAACTCTGTCTAAAAAAAAAAAAAAAAAAAAAAAAAAGCCTTTCAATTGCCTCTGAAAAGAGAGGGCACTACAATCCCAGATGAAAGAATTCTGAATGAATTCTTACGAAAAAACATACCAGAAAGAATGCCTTCCACTACAAGAGAAAGAAAAATTATTTTGATTTTCCAAAGTAAATAAATTCCTATAAGGATAGAAGTTTTGACTATCCTGAGATAAAGCTCGAAGCAAGAAAATGTAATGTTGGACTGGAAAGTCAGTAGAGGAAGAGTCCATTTCTGACTCTCCTCACTACACACATCTTCTCCTTTGGTAGCACAGAAAAGAGATAATAAACCTCCTTTATGGTTTAGGGGAAAGGGTTTAAAGATTGGAAGAGGAGAGTAAGAATGTTCCCATGTGGACAGAGAGTGGGATCCTGCCTTTGTCCCTCCCAAGGTCAAAATAGAGGTTGTGTTTATTCTATATCTGCAAATAAATTTGAGAATTGAAGAGCAGGAGTGCCCTACTTCTTATCTGGATTGTTGAGAAGGGGAACTTAGGCAGAACATTGCAATCATAATGCAGGAAACATGCATGCAAGGGCAGTTAGAGAGAGAGACAGAGACTCTCACCCCTATCCGTTACCATTGTAAGGTATCAGCTGCCAGCGGTGAATCCATATGGGTCTTCAGCAATCTCAGTTCTTGCCTCCTCAGAAGAAAGAATTCAACCCAGTGACATAAGGCAGAAAAAGAGACTAAGGCAAGTTTCAGAGCAGGAGTGTAAGTTTATTTAAAAGGCTTAAAGCAGAAAAGAATTGAAAGAAAAGTATACTTGGAAGAAACTCAAGCAGACACCAAGGTCAAGTAGATGTTTAACCTTCATCTTAGGTTAAACTTTCCCATGATTCCTTCCCATGATTCTTCCCTTAGGGTGGGCTGCCTGCATGCCCAGTGCCCCTCTTACCCTCAGGAAGTGAGCATGTACAGTGTGTTTAGGAAGTTGTATGAATGCCCGTCTGAGGCTTTCTTCCTTTTTCCAGTAGAGTGCCTCAGGAAAGTCATACTCCACCATTGTGTCTCTTAATGTGCATGTCCAAGAAGTCGCTTCTTCCTGTCATCTGTATTCAGTTATGACTTCAGTGCAATAGGTGTGGATCATCAGGGAACAGCCTCTCCCTAGCACCAGCTGCTAATTTATCACTTTTAGAGATGCAAGGTGATAACTACTGAACCATCATCTGGCATTCCTAATAGGTGGGAGAGCCCTCTTCTGCCCCACTTATGCCTATCTAATAAACTGTAACATGTCCTCCTGCTCTCATGGACCAAGAGCAGTGTGGATGAGCATCTAAATTATGTCCATGTTCCCTTGAAATTGATGCACAGGAAGGCTGAGAAAGTATAGGTGGCACTGGGGTCCGGGAGGAAAATTAATTTTTTCCTCAACCCTCATAAATTCTTAGTTGGCATGACCCTGTGTAACTAAAGACAAATTAATAAGAGAAAAGCAGAAGTTTATTAACATGCATGTTTCATGTATACAAGGAGATATCCAGGGAAAGAGTAATTTTCAAAGAGGGAGCTTTGATTTCCAGCTTATATAGTATCTTCAGTAAAGAATGGCACATTTTTAGGGAAGTGACAAGACCAAGGTAAAGGACTTTGAGTCTTTAGGAATAGCAACTTGTGGGAAGAAAAACAACTGGCAGATAAATGTTGGGGAATACAGTTTCTTCATGTAGATTCTTCTGGTGCCATCTCCAGGCCAATACAGGTCTAAAGTTTTCTTCAGTGGTTAACCTTTTTCTGCCTGGTAGAAAAAGGGATGGGGTATCCTTTGTCTTTGTAAATCTATGTTCTGCTTTTAGGAAAATGGAGAAAGGGCAGGGAGCTTTCCTGTATCTGCTTTTTCTTTTTTGCCTTCAGATTGTTGAGCTGAAGATATTAATCTTATGCAAAAGAGGCATGTTTTTGGGTGGCATAGTCTCATCTCCCACATTGGATAGGCCTTGGAGCTTGGATGAGGAGTATGTGGAGTGAACTGTATTGTCCTGGCAATTGAGAGCATGGCAGTACCATGGGTGGTATGTGCAGTAGATGGCAGAGGGGATGGATGTTGATAATCCAAGGCCAAGATGGATTATATATCTTGCTGAAGGCCAAGCAGGACAGAAAATGGCTGTGAATAGATACCAACTTTCCCTTGTGGCCCTAATCATATATAAGCACTTTCTCCCTTAGGGAGAAGAGAGGAGCAAATACTCTTGAATTAAATGAATTAAAATTCTGTTTTAAATTCAGTGAAGATTATTTAATATGAACCAGCAAGACTAAGAGCTCTGTTTCACTAATAGCAAAATGGAGGTTTGGAGAGACTGTATTTAGTTCAGTTAATGAGAATAGAAAGGAAGTTCAATTTTTACACACCTGAGTGCACCACAAGCTTCCCACCACCACCATCAACAACGAAGGAGACTAAATGACTTTGTAAGTGCCTTATTCCCTTTAAATATTTAATTCCTTTATTAGCAAAGTGGTTCTTGTTTCCTACAACTGAGACCTGAATAACAGATATGCAGCGCCATGTGCAGGCAGTGATTGTAGCCAATGGACCTTTCTAGATGGAAATCTGGGATTGGTTATCTAATCAAGTTCGAGTTTAAGTCAGTGAGGACCAGTTACCATTGGAAAATGGGATACTGGTAACACATAGCATGTCATGATAAAGTAGTTCCTGAATTATCACTTTTCGTCCAGAACGAAACGTTTGCAGAAGGCAAGGCTTGGTGGATAAAGTGGCTACTGCAATAGTATACTAATAGTAATGTGTATACTAAAAATCACACAGTATATATTTTAAAAGAGTAAATTTTATGGAATATAAATTATGTATCAATAAAGCTATCATTAAAGAAAGAAGCTCCTGTAAAGTTACTGAGAAATACGATTTTTGCATTATCAACTAAATTCATGGATAGATGTCATGAGTGCATTTTTATGAAGTGATCACACAGTTTGAAAGGTTACTAAATGATAAAATTACAGGATATTAAAAATTACTTTATCATACAGTGGTTTCTGGAAGGCATTTATTCAATATAAATGCATTTTATTGGACAGTGAGGACATGAAAAAGACAAAGAATTTGTTGCCCATGATATGCAGAAAAAAAAAGCGAAGTAAAGGAAAGTTAAAAAGAGAAAACAAATTATTTTGGGAAGTGAATATAAGGCCTCCATGAATGGTCACCCTTGACCATGGAGAATATAAGTTAGTTTTTGTGACATCTTATTTTCTTGTGCCTTTCTTTCTTTCTCTTTCTTTCTGTCTTTCTTTCTTTCTTTCTTTCTTTCTTTCTTTCTTTCTTTCTTTCTTCTTTCTTTCTTTCTTTCTTCTTTCTTTCTTTCTTTCTTTTTTTTTTTTTTTGATAGAGTCTCACTCTGTTGCCCAGGTTGGAGTGCAGTGGCACAATCTTGGCTCACTGCAACCACCACCTCCTGGATTCAAGTAATCCTCCCGCCTCAGCCTCCCAAGTAGCAGGGATTACAGGTGTGCACCACCATGCCAGGCTAATTTTGTATTTTTAGTAGAGACAGGGTTTCGCCATGCTGTCCAGGCTGGTCTCAAACTCCTCACTTCAGGTGGTCCAACAGCCTTGGTCTCCCAAAGTGCTGGGATTACAGGCATGAGCCACAGACCCCGGCCTGTCTTGTGTATTTCTCATTGGCTATAATTCCTTCAACATGTAACATGACTTCATTTCCTTTCAGTTGCTATAAATGCTATTCGAGACAAGTGTTGGCTTTTAAATTCCTTGTCAATTAGCTATTAATATAATGAAGACAACTTGGATCTTGTTGCCCCAGGATTAAAATTAGTAAAAAGAAGTTTTTACTAAATCATAATAAGAGAAATCCTAATACTCTTGTCATAATTTCTATCTTATTACAGAGTAAAAGAGTCACTAAATTGGAAACGAGTTTTTACGTATCAAAAAATTATGTAGCATTTATCAATACCACTCAGAAATATAGCTTTAACCATAGCTTCCTGAATTATTTTGTAACTTGCTGAGGGGGAAAATATAGAAAACATAGCTTTCAGTAAGGCATGTGGTGTGTGTTTAGTATTAAATGTTTGGCTGAAAGTACTGTGCTAGAATTTTAAAAATAAATTATGGGGTAGACTGTTATTTCAGAGTGAAGACATTAAGGCTGAAATGTCCATACATTTGATACCTAAAACTGAAAGACCAAAATTCTCCAATTCTGAAGTCCAAGAAAGGGGTGTCACAACTTATGCCATTTATTGAGAGCATAAACAAGTGTAGTTTATATTTACTAGAATATTCCTTCTGAAGCAGCTCTTCAGATGGGGGAGATAATTTCTTTTCCTGTTTCATTAGCCAGATTTAAATGTCTGAGAAACAACATCTCCTTATTCTCCTAGGCTGCAATGAAACTACTATCTTGGGGATTTAGCATCTCCCTTCCTTTACAAAATATGCTCAGCAAATGGCACCAGTTAGCTGTAGATTGGTAAGTTGGTGTTATAATAATTGTGACATCCATAATGTTTTGTAAGGCAATCGATTTAATAAAATCACAAATGTGAAAAATGAAAAAAGAAATCACATGTATAGGATGTGAGGAGCCTCACTCCCCAGACAGCCTAGTGCCTGCTTAAGGGGCTTGGGAACAAAATGCCCATGGTGGCCAGGGTGGCACATGTTTACAGGCTTCCCCTCACCAAGGCTAATCTGGCTAACAGTATTGTTAAATGTTTCACTTGCCAAAACAGAGACTAATGCTGCACTATGCCAGCATATCCCACAGGTGCCAGAAAACATCTGGGGGCAAGATGGCTACTTTGACCCACATCTGTCAGATTCATTTTTTCTCCCTGAAACAGACACACATTCTGAATTTGAATTTGCCTTTTTTGTCTGTTCTCTGCTAGCATCAACATCTATGAACTTAGTGAACGCTTCATTCACAATACCAGGGTTCCACACAATGTTATTTCTAACCATGGGGCTTGTTTTCTATGGCAGGATAAATGGAACAATGTGCTGAAACCTGAGGAATTTTCCAACTGTGCTATGTCTCCCCTTACAGAACTCTCCTTATAGAATAATGAAAATGAAACAGCATATTGAAGACTCAGTTACAGCACTTTCTGGAAGATAGCACCTTGTGAGGTTAACAGGGTGTTTTAGAAAATGCATTCTATGATCTTAAGCAGTGAGTCATTTCCTAGCTCATCAAATTTAAGTTGGCCTGGATTGTAAAGAGTGCAATTATTTTATGTAAAACTAAGAAAGAAAAATATACTATCAAGTAAACTATAACTTTCAATGATTGTAAGAAGCAGGCTGATGTCAGAGACACAAAAACCTTAGAAAAAGACAAAAGAGATGTGATGTAAAACAAAAGAAATATTGTAAATTTTACACTTTTTTTCTGTAGCCATAATTCAAAAGTCAAGGAACCAAGGAGTGGAAGTGAAAGTGATGTTTTAACCTACCATACCAATGTCACCTTCACAAAATCCATGCCATTGTGGACTCTTCTGTCATTGTTTTATTATTATTATTATTATTATTATTATTATTTAAACCTATTCTGACAATTTAATTATGTGGACTTGTCAAAATGTTATTTCAAGATTGTTCAAAAAAAGGGACCTAAGCAGACCAATTTAAAGATTTATCTCTTGCTAGTGACATTTATAGAAGACAGAAATGTTAGTTAATTAAGAAAAGATTTTCTGATTAGAGATGATTAGGCTTCTGACAGTCAGCTGACAGTTAGAGGGTGGGTGGGTGACTAGCTTTCCAGAACAGATCTCAGGCTTATTACAGTTCATGAGGCAATGATACAATGGTGCTTAGGCTATTTCATTAGGTATGCCAAATTTTCTTGGAAGGAGGTTGTGAAATACATTCCAGACCAGGTTTGGGGCAATATTTTCCTTAAGTTTCCAAAGGGAAAAATGCTTCCATCAAGGACATAACAACAGTTGCATTTTAGGCTCTTCTTGAAACAAGCAAAACAAAACGAAATAAAATATCAACTAGTATGGGAGTAAAATAACTGTTCCAGTGATTAATCGAATTACCAAAGAAAAATCGGGCTACTATTTCACAATGGAGACAAAAAAATACATCTGGAGCCAAGTCATCTAAATTGTCTCCAAATAGTGGCCAGTCTAGGGATAAAAAATAATGGAAAATTATATTGGCCAAATGCTCATTCAGGCAAGACCAGCAAGGAGCCAGACATCTCAGAATAAAGATTTGGATCAACGTGCAGACAAAACAAACAAACCATCAAGCAAAACAAACAAAACTAATCAGCTAAGGCGTTGGGCAAAGAATGTGATGTAGGTCATAGCTATACATAGTTCTATCTGTTTATGTGATGTATATATCTCTACCTACTAGTTAACTTTTTTCTTCTCTTCCCTTCCTTTTCTTTTTTTATATAGGATTTGTGTGTGTGTGTGTATGTGTGTGTGTGTGTGTGTGTGTGTGTGTAAGACAGGGTCTTGCTCTATCATCCTGGCTGGAGTGCAGTGGTACAACTATAGCTCATAGCATCCTCAAACTCCTGGGCTCAAGTGATCCTCCTGCCTTAGACTCCTGAGTAGCTGGAACTGGGATTACAGGCACACACCACCACACCCAGCTAATTTTTAATTTTTTTTTGTAGAGATGGAGTCTCACTTTACTGCTTAGGCTTGTCTCATAGAATGTATCATCGATGTTAAATTTCTAATTTAATTTATAGCTTTATACATAAGAGAACAATCTAAGCTGCTGTAGAAGAGAGTCTAAAATCCAGTAGCTTAAGGTAAAGGTTTATTTCTCTTTCATATAATAGTTGGGCTTATAGTCTAGGGCTTGATGGTGGCTTGAGCCACTATCAGAGATCCAAATTCTTCTACTGCTTGCTCTCCCATTCCTAGAATGCTTTCCCTGCCTGAAATGTCAAAGATAGTTGAACCTCACATGCATATTTCAGTGTGTAGGAAAGAGGAAAGGAAAAAGGACAATAATGTTGAAGGTGGCATTTCAGCTGAACTAAAAGAAGATGAGTATCACAAAAAGATCATTAGAGTGACTGATGAGACTTTGGTTCTCTCCTTTTGGAGAGATGGCAAATGCATTATATCTGTATGGTAATGGTTATTTTAGATTGCCATTGTTGGAAGTTTAAGTATATGGAGAAATGTATGGATAAACGTTGCATACCCAGAAAATTGAACTTGGTGGATATAATGAAACGACCCTCATATTCACTCCAACTTTCTCCTCATGTGACTTTCTATACAGCAAAGATTGCAAAAATTAAAACTACATGTTTTAGATTCCTTTGAAGATGAGATTGAAGATGAGAATTATGTACTGTATGTTACATAGAACTGCCTGAGGCATGGAGAGCAGACGTCTCCCTGTGCTTTGGGTGTTATTTTTGGCAGGCACCATTGTATACTTGTTGGTTTCACTGAAACAGCATTCCAACCACTGACTTCTAGACTGGAAGTTCATATATGTTTTCTGTAAAGGGCTATAGAGCATATATACCAGTTTCATGGAACAAGAGGCCACATACAAGCTCTGTCCCAATTCCTCAACTCTGCCGTGCAGTGAAAGCAGCAACAGGCAGTACGTAAACAGAGGAGTGTGGTCATGTTTGCTGCCTGGATTTGGTCTGGGGAACATTGATTTCCAGCATCTTTTCTGGAGCATAGTCTTGGAAAGGCAGATTCAAGCAGCATTGGTGGCCCTACTCAGCAATGCATTCTCTAGTCATTGAGAGTGACTACAGAATGGGTGTCAGGAGGGAGTTGTGGAGATGCTGGCTTATTTTCTGGATCACAGTCAGAAAGGCTTCTGTGTTTCCCTCTCTTCCTAACTGTGGTAAGTTCCCTGGTGAGCCAGTTCTATTGTATTGATCTTGGAATCATTCCTGGAGGAAGCTTAGGATAAAGTCTGCCTTTCCACTCCTTTAATGATTTTTGTAAGCACTTTGTTTCCTACATTTAAACCAATGTCGACATAAAATATGTCTATGGTGGATTCTGTTTCTTGTAAATAAAAACTGTCTGATCCTAGCTTACCTCTACATATCATTAAGAGTCCATAACTCTCAGCAGGCAACATGCCAGGAAAGAGAGGCAAAGGCTAAGTGGATGTGAGGATATCTGGTTGCCTAAGGAAATGCTTTTTTCCCTTCCATAGAAAGCCAGAATAACACCATGCACAGTGCATTTTGGTCTGAAATCTTGGCAAAGAAGGCTTAAGCTCTGACTTGAATTCAACAAAATCACACTGGATTATGATTAGAAATCACACATTGAGTACATCAAGCTTTCCTTCCATTTGGATAGAAAAGCTACCAGCACCCACATGGATAGTAAATGGTACAAGAGATATTCTAGCTTGTCTTTTGGCAAATGCTAGGCTTGATTTTGTGGCTCTCCATTCCAAATTACTAGAGAAAATAGTCTATAAATATGTTTAAAATGCTGATTAATGAGGGAATATTTACAGTTCTGAAGATTCCTTTCTATTAGAAACAGATAAAACAGAAATTATTAGAAGATGTCTGACTGTCTTCTAATAATCATCTGACTGAAGAAGATAGGAAACAATCATAGAAAGCCAGGAGTAAGAAGTGAAGATTAGGATGCAAAGACAGATGACAGAAGTAGAAATAGGTATGGCTAGACTTACCAAACCCAATCACAGAGCAAAATCAGTGTTGAAGAAGAAGTGAAGGTAATAAACTTGCAGAAGATCAAATGAAGATTTGATACATGACCATGAGGTCTAGGAAGGTAAGTATCAAATCTTTAGGGCAGGCTGCCAGCCTGGATGTCTTCTTCCAACATATGGCTTCACTTGTCACTCTCTTAATAGTGCCTTTTAATAACAGAATTTCTTAATTTAACAAGTATAATTTATTAATCGTTCCTTTTTTGGTTGGTGCTTTTTGTTCTGTTTAGAAATCTTTGCATACCTCATTTCACAAAAGTATTTACCCATGTTACCTTCTAAAGCATTGTATGTATATTTCACAATTAGGTCCATGAATTAATTATTGTATTAGATGTAAAATGGGGATCAAAATTTGTTTTTTCATATGGATATCTACTGATACAGCACCAATTACTTAAAAAAAATCATTTACCTACTCTCAGTGGCACTTTTGTCACATATTAGATTGGTTGGATATGTATGTGTCTACTCCCGGATTTTCTATTCCATTTAATTGGTCTATTTACTTCCTGGTACAACACTATATTGTTGTAATTATTGTAGCTTTATAGTAAATTGTGATATCTGGAATTGTAAGTCCTCCACCTACATTTTTCAAGATTTAAAAAAAATTTCTTTAGTATTTCCGTATACATTTTAGAATTAGCTTTTCAATTTCCATATAGACACCTACAGAAACCTGCTGAGAATTTAATTGCAATAGCAATACATTTATAAATTTATTTAGAAAGAACTGACATTATAATTACTATGAAGAGGTTCATAGCTCCTTATAGGACTTCTATAGGCAGCTATGGGTGAACAGAGCTTTTCAAAGGTTTCTAGGATGTCCTCCAGAACTCACCTTAGGAATAAAGTTTGCATGATGTCACACAATGTGACTCTCTTCTAAGTTTGTCTTGTCATTTCCATATTCTAAAGTAAGACAAAGACCCTTGAAGTTGCCTTTGACAAATCTGATGTCAGTAGAATGGGCACTAATAATTCTCCCACAGGGAGGGGCAGTAAATTCTTGTGAAAATAACACTCTATCCGACTTAATATAAGAGGCTCAGCCAAAATCTCAAAATCTTCATCACTGTCCTGAAATCATAAGATATAGGACCATCTATACAACTTAAAAGCCGTGTATTAGTCCATTTTCACATTGCTATAAAGACCTGCCCTGAGACTGGGTAATTTATAAAGAAAAGAGGTTTAATTGACTCACAAATCCGCGTGGCTGGGAGGCCTCGTACAATTATGGCAGAAAGGGAAGCAGGCACATCTTACATGACAGCAGGTGAGTGAGACAGTGTGAAGGAGGAACACTCACAAACTTATAAAACCATCAGATCTCATGAGAACTCACTCACTATCATGAGAACAGCATGAGGGAAACCACCCCCATGATCCAATCACCTCCCACGAGATATCTCCATTGACATGTGGGGATTATGGGGATTACAATTCCAGATGAGATTTGGGAGGGGACAGAGAGCCAAACTGTCAGAGGAGTTTGAACAAGAGCAACTCCATCTTGAATAGGGGCTTGGTAAAATAAGGCTAAGACCTACTGGTCTGCATTCCCAAGAGGTTAAGGCATTCTTAGTCATAGGATGAGACAGGAGGTCATTGCAAGATACAGGTCATAAAGACCTTGCCGATAAAACAGACCGCAGTAAAGAAGCTGGCCAAAACCCACCAAAACCAAGATGGCGACAAGAGTGACCTCTGGTTGTCCTCACAGCTCATTACATGCTAATTATAATGCATTAGCATGCTAAAAGACACTCCCATCAGTGCCATCACAGTTTACAAATGCCATGGCAATGTTAGGAATTTACCCTATATGGTCAAGAAGTGGGGGAACTCTTGGTTTCAGGAATTGCCCACCCCTTTCCTGGAAAACTCATGAATAATCCACCCCTTGTTTAGTATATAATCAATAAATAACCATAAAAACGGACAACCAGCAGCTCAGGCTGCTGCTCTGCCTATGGAGTAGCCATTCTTTTATTCCATTACTTTCCTAATAAGCTTACTTTCACTTTACTGTATGAACTTGCCCTGAAATCTGTCTTTTTTTTTTTTGCTTTGTTTATTTATTTTTTTAAATTATACTTTAAGTTCTAGGGTACATGTGCACAACATGCAGGTTTGTTACATATGTATACATGTGCCATGTTGGTGTGCTGCACCTGTTAACACATCATTTACATTAGGTATATCTCCTAATGCTATCCCTCCTCCCTGCCCCCACCCCATGACAGGCCTGGTGTGTGATGTTCCCCTTCCTGTGTCCAAGTGTTCTCATTGTTCAGTTCCCACCTATGAGTGAGAACATGCAGTGTTTGGTTTTTTGTCCTTGCGATAGTTTGCTGAAAATGATGGTTTCCAGCTTCATCCATGTCCCTACAAAGGACATGAACTCATCCTTTTTCATCGCTACATAGTATTCCATGGTGTATATGTGCCACATTTTCTTAATCCAGTCTATCATTGATGGACATTTGGGTTAGTTCCAAGTCATTGCTATTGTGACTAGTACTGCAATAAACATACGTGTGCATGTGTCTTTATAGCAGCATGATTTATAATCCTTTGGGTATATACCCAGTAATGGGATGGCTGGGTCAAATGGTATTTCTAGTTCTAGATCCTTGAGGAATTGCCACGCTGTCTTCCACAATAGTTGAACTAGTTTACAGTCCCACCAACAGTACAAAAGTGTTCCTATTTCTCCACATCCTCTCCAGTACCTACTGTTTCCTGACTTTTCAATGGTCACCATTCTAACTGGTGTGAGATGGTATCTCATTGTGGTTTTGATTTGCATTTCTCTGATGGCCAGTGATGATGAGCATTTTTTCATGGGCCTGTTGGCTGCATAAATGTCTTCTTTTGTGAAGTGTCTGTTCACATCCTTCGCCCACTTGTTGATGGGATTGTTTGATTTTTTCCTGAGATTTGTTTAAGTTCTTTGTAGATTCTGGATATTAGTCCTTTGTCAGATGGGTAGATTGTAAAAATTTTCGCCCATTCTGTAGGTTGCCTGTTCACTCTGATGGTAGTTTCTTTTGCTGTGCAGAAGCTGTTTAGTTTAATTACATCCCATTTGTCAATTTTGGCTTTTGTTGCCATTGCTTTTGGTGATTTAGACATGAAGTCCTTGCCCATGCCTATGTCCTGAATGGTATTGCCTAGGTTTTCTTCTAGGGTTTTCATGGTTTTAGGTCTAACATTTAAGTCTTTAACCCATCTTGAATTAATTTTTGTATAAGGTGTAAGGAAGGGATCCAGTTTCAGCTTTCCACATATGGCTAGCCAGTTTTCCCAGCACCATTTATTAAATAGGGAATCCTTTCCCCATTTCTTGTTTTTGTCAGGTTTGTCAAAGATTAGATGGTTGCAGATGTGTGGTATTATTTCTGAGGGCTCTGTTCTGTTCCATGGGTCTATATCTCTGTGCTGGTACCAGTACCATGCTGTTTTGGTTACTGTAGCCTTGTAGTATAGTTTGAAGTCAGGTAGCAAGATGCCTTCAGCTTTGTTCTTTTGGCTTAGGATTGACTTGGCAATGTGGGCTCTTTTTTGGTTCCATATGAACTTTAAAGTAGTTTTTTTTCCAATTCTGTGAAGAAAGTCATTGGTAGCTTGATGGGGATGACATTGAATCTATAAATTACCTTGGGCAGTATGGCCATTTTCACAATATTGATTCTTCCTATCCATGAGCATGGAATGTTCTTCCATTCGTTTGTGTCGTCTTTTATTTTGTTGATCAGTGGTTTGTAGTTCTCCTTGAAGAGGTCCTTCACATCCCTTGTAAGTTGGATTCCTTAGTATTTTATTCTCTTTGAAGTAATTGTGAATGGCAGTTCACTCATGATTTGGCTCTCTGTTTGTCTGTTATTGGTGTATAGGAATGCTTGTGATTTTTGCACATTGATTTTGTATCCTGAGACTCTGCTGAAGTTGCTTATCAGCTTAAGGAGATTTTGGGCTGAGATGATGGGGTTTTCTAAATATACAATCATGTCATCTGCAAATAGGAACAATTTGACTTCCTCTTTTCCTAATTGAATACCCTTTATTTCTTTCTCCTGCCTGATTGCCCTGGCCAGAACTTCCAACACTATGTTGAATAGGAGTGATGAGAGAGGGCATCCCTGTCTTGTGCCAGTTTTCAAAGGGAATGCTTCCAGTTTTTGCCCATTCAGTATGATATTGGCTGTGGGTTTTTTATAAATAGCTCTTATTATTTTGAGATTCATCCCATCAATACCTAGTTTCTTGAGAGTTTTTAGCATGAAGTGCTGTTGAATTTTGTCGAAGGCCTTTTCCGCATCTATTGAGATAATCATGTGGTTTTTGTCTTTGCTTCTGTTTATATGATGGATTGCATTTATTGATTTGTGTATGTTGAACCAACCTTGCATCCCAAGGATGAAGCCAAGTTGATCATTTCTTTACTTCTGCCTTCATTTTATTATGTACCCAGTAGTCATTCAGTAGCAGGTTGTTCAGTTTCCATGCAGTTGAGTGGTTTTGAGTGAGTTTCTTAATCCTGAGTTCTAGTTTGATTGCACTGTGGTCTGAGAGACAGTTTGTTATAATTTCTGTTCTTTTACATTTGCTGAGGAGTGCTTTACTTCCGATTATGTGGTCAATTTTTGAATAAGTGTGATATGGTGCTGAGAAAAATGTATGTTCTTTTGATTTGGGGTGGAGAGTCCTGTAGATGTCTATTAGGTCCTCTTGGTGCAGAGCTGAGGTCAATTCCTGAATATTCTTGTTAACCTTCTGTCTTGTTGATCTGTCTAATGTTGACAGTGGGGTGTTAAAGTATCCCATTATTATTGTGTCGGACTCTTAGTCTCTTTGTAGGTCTGTAAGGACTTGCTTTATGAATCTGGGTGCTTCTGTATTGGGTGCATATATATTTAGGATAGTTAGCTCTTCTTGTTGAATTGATCCCTTTACCATTATGTAATGGCCTTCTTTGTCTCCTTTGATTTTTGATGGTTTAAAGTCTGTTTTATCAGAGACTAGGATTGCAACCCCTGCTTTTTGTTGTTGTTGTTTTCCATTTGTTTGGTAGATCTTCCTCCATCCCTTTATTTTGAGCCTGTGTGTGTCTCTGCACATGAGATAGGTCTCCTGAGTACAGCACACTGATGGGTCTTGACTCTTTATCCAATTTGCCAGTATCTGTCTTTTAATTGGAGCATTTACCCCATTTACATTTAAGGTTAATATTGTTATGTGTGAATTTGATCCTGTCATTATGATGTTAGCTGTTATTTTTCTCGTTAGTTGATGCAGTTTCTTGCTAGCATCAATGGTCTTTAAAATTTGGCATGTTTTTGCAGTGGCTGGTACCGGTTGTTCCTTTCCATGTTTAGTGCTTCCTTCCAGAGCTTTTGTAAGGCAGGCCTGGTGGTGACAAAATCTCTCAGCATTTGTTTGTCTGTAAAGGATTTTATTTCTCCGTTACTTATTTAGCTTAGTTTGGCTGGATATGAATTTCTGGGTTGAAAATTCTTTTCTTTAAGAATGTTGAATATTGGCCCCCACTCTCTTCTGGCTTGCAGAGTTTCTGCCGAGAAATCCACTGTTAGTCTTATGGGCTTCCCTTTGTGGGTAACCCAGCCTTTCTCTCTGGCTGCTCTTAACATTTTTTCCTTCATTTCAACTTTGGTGAATCTGACAATTATGTTTCTTGGAGTTGCTCTTCTTGAGGAGTATCTCTGTGTCAATCTCTGTATTTCCTGAATTTGAATGTTAGCCTGCCTTGCTAGGTTAGGGAAGTTCTCCTGGATAGTATCCTGAAGAGTGTTTTCCAACTAGGTTCCATTCTCCCTGTCTCATTCAGGTACACCAATCAGATGTAGATTTGGTATTTTCACATAGTCCCATATTTCTTGGAGGCTTCGTTGGTTTCTTTTTACTCTTTTTTTCTAAACTTCTCTTTTCACTTCATTTCATTCATTTGATCTTCAA